>NC_000012.12:110187400-110338915 GCF_000001405.40 Homo sapiens | reverse complement strand
GCAACCTGGCAAGTCCTGGAATGGTAAAGGAGTGCCAACGTGGCTGGAATAGAGTTTACATGAGCAAAAGGTGAGGCAGGTAATGGCAGAGGATGGTAGAAGCAGGTCATTAAGACCTCAAAAGTCATTATGGGGCATTTGGCTTTTAAGACAAGTAAAACAGAAGACAACGGAGGGTCTCAAGCTCCAGTTGTCAAGAATTGGCTGAAGGTGGTCGGGTGCAGTGGATCACCTGAGGTCAGCAGTTCATGACCAGCCTGGCCAACATGGTGAAACCCTGTCTACAAAAATTAGCTAGGTGTGGTGGCAGGCACCTGTAATCCCAGCTACTCAGGAGGCCGAGGCAGGAGAACTGCTTAAAGCCAGGGGGGCAGAGATTCCAGTGAGATGAGATTGCGCCACTTCACTCCACCCTGGACGAAAGAGCAAACTCCATCTCAAAAAACAAAAGCATTGGCTGAAGGGAGACAAGGAATACCATTCAGTATAATGACACTGACTTAAACTAGGGAACGTTGGAGGTGAAGAGATGGCCCCAAGCAGAGCTGTCCACCAGAACTCTGTGAAAGATGGCAATGCTCTGTGGCCACTGTTCATGTGGCTGTCACACGTGATGGATAAGCACTTTAAGTGAATATGGCTAGGGCATCTAAGGAAGTGTTTTTAGGTATTCTAAGTAGTTTTAGATAGCTAGTGGCTACTGATTATAGTAATGAGACCAGAAGAGATCATGGGAGTAACTATAGACAGAAATGGCTGAGGACTATGGAGCCTTCACCTCCTGGTGCCTTGTGAAAGACCCAGCTACAAAGACCTCGAATGAGAGGCCAGGGAGGGAGAGCAAGTATGGGATCGTGGAAGCCAAGTGAAGAGGTGCTTCAAAGAGGGAGCGAGTGACAGCACCAACAAAATAGGAAGACGAAGACTGAGAATAAACCTTTGGCTTTATATCGTTACCTACAACTAAAGATACCCCTTCTCTTCCAGTTTTTGTACTTTTCTTGCCTATTACACAGACCAGGAATGCCAGTATAATACTGCATAGAAATGGTGAGAATTCTGTTATGTTAGCATGGTCTCTGTGTAAACACACTGTCAGCGTTAAAGACACACTTTTATAGTCTTAGTTTGGTGTGATAAGATGCGTTTCATCATATGCACCTACTGAGGTGACCTTATTGTTTTTTCCACCTTAATTTGGTTAATGTGGTGAGTTAATTATATTTGCTCCCACTGACACACATTTAAAAATCATCATAGAAATCCCCAAGAACATCAGCATCTAACCTAGGAAGCTACGGGAGGACTGAAGGCTGATGAACTGACTAGATGGGGCTCAGGGCCCTGCAGCGATCCTGCTGGCCTGCCAGCCACTGAACCGTCTCAGGCAGCAAAGGAATGGGTATGAGTGCTACGCTAGATTCTGTATCATCTCAATCACACGTGTGTTTAGTTTCAATTAAGCATTTGCGCCAATGGCACTGGGATGACTAAAGGAACACGCAATGATTCTGAGGAAGGCGTGGACCTACCCAGGTAAGAGGTCTTGGGCTGGGAGTGGGGGAGGGAAATCCCTTTCAGTACTAGGCTGGCCAAGAACCACAGACCTCACCAAACAAGCCATGGGGCCAAAATGCTGGACCTGCTCTCTCTGCTTCTAAACTACACATGGGTTCCTGCTGTCTCAAGTGGGAAGGGAGGCAAAGAGCTTGTGTTTGGAACTCCTTAGTGAATGAGCAGCATGACAGCTGTTTCCGATCCCTTGGCCAAGGGATGTGAAAAAGATGGGACAAGGGAGCTCTGGAGCAGGGAGACACAAGGATGACAGTATTGCCCGTACTTGTGTGGTCACTGGCTAGTGAGCCAGTGCTGGTTCAGCCCCATTACATGACTTGTTTCCCATCACTCAGTGGAGTAGTCAGAGGTCTAGAATCAAACGACTCAAACCCTCAATCTGTGAAGCTGTTTTCAGGCTGCCTCAGATTTTTAGTTACACCAACTAATAGATCACAGGCAGCGTGGCTCTGCCAGGATCCAACTCCTTGCTTACTGGCAGAGTGAATAAGCCTGGACTGCTTCGGGTTCATGGAAGACACATGGGTAGAGGGAAGAAGCCAAAGGAGTGGTCCAAGGCCTTCATGGCTTTGAGACTGCTATTTGTGAATTGTGCATCAGTTTACTGAAAAGGAATCTATATTTCAGCTGAGACAGTCTCAATTCCAGTGTGAGTTTTGTTTTCTCAGGACAGTATAAAGGAGACAAAATGCTGCCTCACACTAACCGGAAGACCACGCCATACAGGTCATGGAAGGGCTAGGTGTCCCTAACTGCAGGCTGGACATGATGGTCTAGAACTTTTCACCCTGAGATTTTGTGTGGTCACTAAAATGCCTGATATTTGAGGTTATTAAGAAAACAGGTATACTGCTCCCTCCCAACTCAGGCTGTACTACCCCCCAATGACACAATGCCTCCTCATTTGCCCTTATTATCCAGGAAGGGATGAAAGGGCTTATGACATACAAAAAGCATTAAACGTGGTGACAACTAATCATTTTGCTAAATGAGGCTTGCCTTTATACAGCTGTGTATGACAACTAGAAAAGGCTGAGTTTTACCTCTCTCCTCCCCCAGACCTGTTCCTTCAGGCAGGCAGAACCTCTCCCCTTCCCATCGCTCCTTATTCTACCAGGGAACCCTAAGTTACAACAATGTCCTATAAAGAGGCTGCAAAAGTACTGACTGGCAGCCCCATGGTGATGACAGACAGGTAGGTCTGATGCTAAAAAGAGGTATGTTCAGCAGAACCCAATTCCATAGGAATCCAAGCTCCACAGCTAGGAGACAGTGGGCACTGAGGATGAGGCTGTTTGCAGGCAAATGGTCTGGTGGACCTATTAGAGGACCATGTGGCTGTGCAGACCCTGGACTGCAGATAGAGGGTATTCACTCTAAGATAGTGTAGGAGGGCTCTTGCCCAACAAGCAATCACCCTGTCTGCCATATAAAAGGAGCAGCTGCTGCTGCTGCCACACAGCTCAGGAATGATGTTTCCTGGGTGGTGGTTTGTGGGGGCAGGAACCAGACATAGACTTTGAGAGCCTGACTTACGTCCCTAAGCTCCTTCTGCTCCTCCCTGGCTGCTCTGAGAGCATCACACTCCTTCCTCCAATACAATCAGCTTCCGCAGTTCCCATTCTTGAGCTGCTTCTGTAGCTTGCTTCTTCTCTCCCACCTGTCCTTGGCACCCACGTGACCGACTGACCCACACAGACTTTGTGTATTGCAACATCTTATCTGCATATCACTTCTCATCCAAGCAATCATCTACCACTTTGGCCAGGATAAGATAAAGGGAGTTATCCTTCAAGTTTAGCCACTTCAGGCCTTAATTTTTTTTTGAGATGGGGTCTGACTCTGTTGCCCAGGCTCAAGTGCAGTGATGCTGCAACCTAAACTCTAGGCCTCAAGTGACTCTCCCGCCTCAGCTTCCCAAAGTGTTGGGATTACAGGTGTGAGCCACTGCGCCTGGTCCACTTCAAGTTCTTAAGCTGAGCCAAGTGACAGGCAGGGGGACCAGTCTTTTGAGGAGACCCAGGTGCTAGAGACTCAATGGATGGCCATTCTTCACCAGCAGCCGTTGCAAAGTGTTTCTACTGAGGTCTAGGCTCCCCGGGCTTGTGAGGCCACAGAAATCTAAGGGCAGTACTGCAGGACAGGTCCAGTATGGTGGTCTTGGCAGGAGGGAGCAGCAGCTCTTTGAGAGGAACCTCACTCAGGTCCAACTCACTGTGGAGACTCCCCATCCTTGCTACTGGCCCTTGTCATAGTGATGCTGGTCGAATGAGCCCTGTCTCAAAGACTCTGACAGGCAGAAAAAGGCTCAGAGGCCACTTATTTGTTCAGTGTATACATGAACAATGTGGGTGCCCTCTGCCACTGCCACTGCCACTGCCACCACCATCACCACATTGACCTTTGGTATTTGGTTATGCTGGTCTCATCAAATGAGTTAAGAAATGTTTGATGCCCAGGCGCGGTGGCTCATGCCTGTAATCCCAGCACTTTGGGAGGCCGAGGTGGGCGGATCACCTGAGGTCAGGAGTTCGAGACCAGCCTGGCTAGCATGGTGAAACCCCTTTCTACGAAAAATACAAAAAATTAGCCAGGCGTGGTGGCGTGTGCCTGTAATCCCAGCTACTAGGGAGGCTAAGGCAGGAGAATCGCTTGAACCTGGGAGGTGGAGGTTGCAGTGAGCCAAGATCGCGCCATGGCACTCCAATCTGGTGACAGAGAGAAACTCTGTCTCAAAAAAAAAAAAAAAAAAAAGGTTTAATTGAACAGGAAAAGAAAGTGTGGTAGCTGACAGGGGAAATAAGGTCAAAGGAAAGTTTCAAGATAGAAAGACACTATTATTTCCCCCTATGCTGAAGAACATCTAGTAGAGATGGAAATCAATAATGCAGCAAAGATGTTGGGAGGAGGTGGCTTCTGCTAGGAGCAAGAACACTGTTCACAGCACTATGGGAGAAGGCAGCCCCTGTGGGCCCAGAGGGTCGCTCAAGGAAATTAGCTATTGATTGCTTTTATTTTCCTGGTCAAATACACAGGAAGAGCATCTTACCTGAGAGTGAATATGGGGAAGGAAATACTGTAAGTTTGAGGAGATAAGGTATAATTAGTTTTCTAAGAGAGTAGGACAGTGCAGACACTAAGTATATATAGTACGACTGATAAGCAGCATGAACAATAAACCAGGTTCAAATACTCACTGAGTTGCAGGCATTTGCACGTTCTATTTTAGAAAGACCCTTCAATTCGGTATCAAATACATTCATCTTCTCTACTAGGCAAGTGAGAGCAGTCTCTGTAGCTTCTCCAACTTTTTCATACACACCCTTTGCCTGTATTGGTTAAAGGCACAGAAAGTAGAAAAAAGGGAGAAGTACACAGATAAATTTATCTTTAATATTTTTTTTCCACAAAAGCACAATCTGTCCTCTATTACAACACTGTAAGGCCATTTTTATCCTCCTCTGAAACAGGTGACCCAGATAATTAAAAACATACTCAAAGTACAGGTGTGCATGTGATCTTATTCTAATAAGTAGGTTTTTCATTTCCCTTAAATATAAGATGACATCAAACACAGTATTTATTATTTCACCCAAATATAAGAAGCCACTGATCACACTATTAATTCAAAGAGTGCCTTCACATAATAATGTAATTCCATGTCACTGCTTATCATTCTGAAGAGTTCACATTCTGTCTCTGACAGGGACTAGCTTACCTTTGAGACAGAAACTATATCCTTTGCTTTCAGGAAAGCATTTTCTATCCTGGGTTTTATTCATTTATAGTAAGTATGCTATCAACAGAAAGAACATCACATATACTACAACTTTAAGTTAACTAACTGCAATGCTCAGTCACAGAGGATATGTGAAAGGCTCTCAGCTTTCTTTGGTGAGGTCATGCTGGCCCCACCATCAGGTTCTGAATGGAAGGGGGAAACAAAATCAGGCACCCTTGACTTTCAAAAGGGAGGAAGGCAGGCTAGACTTTCATTCCACCCACCCCACCCTTGAACTAGGAACAGCCATTCCTTCTAATTTATGAAGAGACTTACCTCATTGTAATCCAAAGCAGAGTCATTACAAAGAGCACAAATTGTTGCTAATTCTACCAGACCATCATACTGGTGACAATTCACTGGTTTATCATCTTTATGCCTGCCCAAAGAGAAAACACTCTTAGAGCAGGGTATGGTCGCCACTATTGATTCCTCCCGCCCCCTGCCCCCCCGCAATTGTTTAATAATGAAAACAGAATTTCTGGGACAACATACTGGAAAAAATTCCAAACAATTTGATGCCAGAGCCAATATTAGACAAAAACAAAAGAGAGAATGCATCTCTGGTATCAGAAATCAATCAGTAAAAAGACCAGAAATTCTTAATTCAATTCTTCCACCACTGGCTACAGTGAATAACAAACACAAATCCCTCTTGAAAGTTTGGAGCCCAGAAGATGCAAAAAGATGACTGGATTATAACCTTTGGTTCATCTTTCAAAGTTTTTGTTTTAAAAACATTTACTACTTTAGTAATAAGTGTTGACTTGAGCCACATTCAGAAAGCTGTCTTAACTTTGTAGACATGCTGCAAATCAATACAAATACTAAACTGCCACACCAGATCCTTTAAATGAGGAGGAGGGTTACTCACACTTCTCCAATAGGTGCATAAGTTGATCCAGTTATGGTAAACTCATTAAGGGAACAAGTATCACCTTCCACTCTGTCCAGAATGAACATCTGTAGGGGGAGAGCGCATCAGAGTATTTAAAAGGGATTTTTAAAAAATGCTACACAAATAAACTACCTTTGTTAGCTTAGGACAAAGGCAAACAACCTCTTTCATTTACGAAAACAACTTTAATAAAACTCACTGAGGCTCACTCAGCATCAGCAGTACTGTCCCTTACCCTAACTAGCTTAATTATATTAGACTGCTTCGCCCATCACACCCCCGACCAATCGAACAGTATGAAAAACAGCATCACTGAGGTGCTGAATGAATGAGCAGCAGTGGCACCAAAGACACAACAACCCACACAAAATCCAAGTTATGAGGACTCCCGGTCAGCAAAAGGTCAGTTCCAGAGACAAGTTACTCTTTAGATTGCTCAGAATCCCAAATTTCAAATGGCTGGCTGTGAGAGTGGTATTAGGTAGTCCTGCCTTAGAGCTAAGCACAAAAGCTTGGGAAGAATAAACTCACATTTCAGAGTTGCATAAACATTTCCCGAGTAAAATAAGACAAACTGCTTCTCTGCTCCTTCCCACTTATTTTTATTGTGGCAATAGCTCATGTTCTATGAAGCTGCATAACTATATGTATACAGTAAGGAGCCCGCAGAGCTGAATGAATTGATGTTCCCTAGACAATACAGATGGAAGCATGCTTAGGAAAGGATTAATTTTATTTTTTAAAGCGACATAAGCTATTTTCTTAAAGATAATTTTTCCACTGCTTGATTTGCATTCACAAATTATAATTCAGAAGCCCAGTTTGGAAAAGTAAGATTTAGGCTTGTGTTTTCATTGCAAATGAAAACTTGTAAAACCTCCTCTAAAAAGAAAAAATTACAGAAAGTGATGTCAAAACTATATTTTCTCGTGCTTTCTCTGAAATATGAGCAATTAATAATCTGATCAAATCATTCTCTAAGGGGAATTTAAAAAATGTAAAACTCAAGTTAAACAGGCCACGTTGAGCTGGGCACGGTGGCTCACGCCTATAATCCCAGCACTGAGAGGCCAAGGTGAGTAGATCATGAGGACAGGAGCTCAAGATCAGCCTGGCAAAGATGGTGAAACCCGTCTCTACTAAAAATATAACAAATTAGCCGGGCGTGGTGGTGGGCACCTGTAATCCCAGCTACTCAGGAGGTTGAGGGAGAGAAGTGCTTGAACCCGGGAGGCAGAGGTTGCAGTGGGCTGAGATTGCGCCACTGCACTCTAGCCTGGGCGACAGAGCAAAACTCCGTAATAACAGCAACAACAAAGCTATGTTGTGTTTTAAAAACACATCTTTTCAGAGCAATTCATCTCACATTCAATAAGGAAATTAGTTAATCTTTATTTTAAAATAACTTTTTTTTTTTTTTGAGGTGGAGTTTCACTCTGTCGCCTAGGCTGGGTGGACTGCAATGGCACGACTCGGCTCACTGCAACCTCCGCCTCCCGGGTTCAAGTGATTCTCCTGCCTCAGCCTCCCAAAGAAATTATAGGCGCCTGCCAACATGCCCAGCTAATTTTTGTAATATTAGTAGAGACGAGGTTTCACCATGTTAGTCAGGCTGGTCTCGAACTCCTGACCTCAGGTGATCCGCCCGCCTCGGCCTCCCAAAGTGCTGAAATAACAGGCGTGAACCACTGTGCCCAGCCAAAAATGTGAAATTCTTTGAGTCTATACCAAAGCCCAAAATATTCTAAAAGACATTCAGAATCTGAATCTACATTAGCTAAATCTAAATGTACTTAGACATTTTTGACTGTGAGCAAGTCAACCATTTAGGATATGCAGGATGAAAATCTTCCTAAGTCAAGGGCAGTTATGCAATACCACTGCAAGAAGCCTCCTGCAGAATACCAATTAGCACCAGCTTCCTGTTGTGAGGTAGAGCTTCACTCAGAACAGGCAGGCTTTTTCTTTATTATAAGAAAACATTTTAAGCCAAGCCATTCAAGGGAGAAAAGAACAAAAAAAAATTATAGTGAACTGGGAAACTGAAATTTTAAAAATTACAATTTTACACATGGCTTTACACATGGCTTACTTTCACAGACATAAAGACTATTCTGAGGAATTAAAGCTTTCAGGCTAAGTGAGACACAAAATCGTAAATAAGAAAATTCCCTTTCTCTTCCTGAAACAACCAGTATGACAAAACTGACTTTTAGCCAATTCATCCAACCTTTTGGTTCCAAAAAATAAGAACTTAAGTAGCTCAAACACCTTAATATCCTGGAGAAACCTAAGACAAACCTAGAAGCTTTCCACTTTGAAAGTTGGAACACCCCAGTTCTGTCAATTCTAAATGTGGGTTTGGACTTCACAAGGAGCTTGCGGGGGAGGGAGAACCTGTATCTAAAAAATCATCATGAGCTTAAAATTGGCAAGATAAAAATTCACAGGGCTTAACTGATTATAAAACAATTTCCGATGTTAAAAATAATTATCTAAAACCTGACAAAAAGGCCAAGATAACTACACCCTTTCAATATCATACAGAAGCATTATTTAACAAGCCCATTCTAGGAAAATGTAACACTGTGTTACTAAATAAATGCTCATGTTATATGAGGTTTCCCTGTAAGACATTAGTTTTGTAATCTAACCTAGCAATCCCTATTCTAATATTCTAATATTGAACACTTCCTCAAATACAGATTCCCTTGCTAATTAATGAGCCGAATAAAATATGTGACAAATGTCTACTCTGTATGAGTCATGTGTACCTTTTGGAATAGACTTGTACCAAGTTGTTTAAGCAAAACCTAAGGAAAGTGAATTATACAAAATAATCCAGCTGTATAATTATTGCATTATTTATTCAGTTGTTACTTTTCTAACAGCAGGTTTAAATTATTTATTTTATCAAATGATGGTCAAAAAATATAGGATGGCCGGGCGCGGGGGCTCACGCCTATAATCCCAGCACTTTGGGAGGCTTTCAAAAGCGGGTGGATCACTTGAGGTCGCGAGTTCGAGACCAGCCTGACCAACATGGAGAAACCCTATCTCTACTAAAAATACAAAAAATTAGCCGGGCGTGGGGGCGCATGCCTGTAATCCCAGCTACTTGGGAGGCTGAAGCAGGAGAATTGCTTGAACCCAGAAGGCGGAGGTTGTAGTGAGCTGAGATCGGGCCATTGCACTACAGCCTGGGCAACAAGAGTGAAACTCCATCTCAAAACAAGAACAAACAAACAAACAAAAATATATATGATGAATACACAGAATAAAGCAAGTTAAAAGCAATTTTAGTCAGCCCTCTGTACCTGTGGGTTCCACATCCACGGTCAACTAAACAGCAGATGGAAAAAATAACTGCATCTGTACTGAACATGTACATTTTTTTCTTGTCATTATTCCCTAAACAACACAGGTTAACTATCCCTAAACAACACAGTTTAACTATTTACATATCATTTATAATATTACGTTAGGTACTGTAAGTAATCTGGAGATGTTTTCAAGTATACTGGAGGATGAACAAGGTTATATGCAAGTACTGAACCATTTCATTTCAGAGACTTGAGCATCTGCAGAGTTTGGTATCTGAGGGAGGTCCTGGAACCAATCTCTAATGAATACAGAGAGATGACTATCTACTTTTTGAGAAAAAGCACGCTTCATTCAACATGTGATAGAAAAACCAATTAGGACTTCAGGTAGGGAGGTTAACTAGCAGCTTTCTCTAGAACTTGTCTATTAACATACACCTAGAGACAGAGGATCAGGAAAATTAGAAAGGAGGCTGAGTGTGGTGGTTCATGCTTATAATCCCAGCTCTTTGGGAGGCCAAGGCAGGAGGATCACTTGAGCCCAGGAATTCAAGACCAGCCTGGTGACATAGTGAGAACCTGCCTCTACAAAAAAAAATAAAAAAACTAGTGGGGCATGGTGGCATGCACTTGTGGTTGCAGCTACTTGTGAGGCTGGGGTGGGAGGACTTGAGCCTGGGAGGTTGAGGCTGTAAGTGAGCCACAGCTGTGTCACTGCACACTAGCCTGGGCAACAGAATGAGACCTTGTCTTTTTTCTTTTCTTTTCTTTGAGATGGAGTCTTGCTTGTCGCCCAGAATTGAGAGCAGTGGTGTGATCTTGGCTCACTGCAACCTCCGCTGCCCAGGTTCAAGCAATTCTCCTGTCTCAGCCTCTCGAGTAGCTGGGACTACAGGTGCACGCCACCACTCAGCTAATTTTTGTCTTTTCGGTAGAGACAGGGTTTCACCATTTTGGTCAGGTTGGTCTCAAACTTCGGACCTCAGGTGATCCACCCGCCTCGGCCTCTCAAAGTGCTGGGATTACAGGCGTGAGCCACTGCGCCCAGGCTTTTTTTTTTTTTAATTAAAGGAAAATATAATTTCTCTAATTCTCTTACATCTAATACAAGTATATCAGCCATACAGATATCCTGTATTTTGTGAAAGTTTTAGGAATTAAATGATTAGATCCTCTCAAATATTAGAAATTAAGCTCAGGCTATACATACAGCCCACAGAAATGTATGAAATTACAAATCAAAAGTTTTGATGGCATGAAGGCATATTGGTAGGATGAACAAAGAACCACGACACGGAATATTCTAAATTACTCCTCTTACCCTGCAGACTGACATCTGGTTTGTTGTAAGTGTACCAGTCTTGTCTGAGCAGATAACAGAAGTACAACCAAGGGTTTCCACAGACGGGAGGCTTCGAACAATGGCATTTTTCTTTGCCATTCTGCGAGTTCCAAGAGCCAGGCAGGTGGTGATGACTGCAGGCAGACCTTCAGGAATGGCTGCTACAGCCAGGGCCACTGCAATTTTAAAGTAGTAAATAGCACCTCTGATCCAGGACCCTCCATGAACCGGGTCATTGAAGTGCCCAATATTTATGATCCAGACTGCAATGCAAATAAGGGAGATGACTTTGGAAAGCTGTTCCCCAAATTCATCTAGTTTTTGCTGAAGGGGTGTTCTCTCCTGTTCTGTTGCCACCATTTCATCCCGGATCTTGCCAATTTCGGTGTTAACTCCAGTTGCTACCACCACTCCCATAGCTTTCCCAGCAGCAATGTTTGTACCCTAGGACAGAAGTAGAGAACTGGTCACAAGATGAATACCACATCCCAACTTAAATACCGACGCTGGTTTTTGACTAGGGCACCCAGATTCTCTACACATTCTACTAGGTCTTCCACTGGCTACTGTTCAAGCAACCAGCCATACAACTGTGACAACAAGCAATGCTCCATGTGCTACTTACTTATGTCAGGCAGCTCTGTACTGACCCACCTAGATTTCTATTTGAGCCCGGCTTGCAGACCATCTTCAAGCAGTGCTCTTAACCCCTCTGTGTTCCCAATTTTTCAAACTCATATAGTTCAACTCTAAGCATTCTCCACTTCTGGCTCCAACAACTCAAGGCCCCTACTTTTCTCACTGTAATAGAAACGGCAACTAGCCCCATGGGCTATCTTGACAACCCCTACTCATGTGACAGGGTCCAAAAACCAAAGAAATCAAATGTGAGCAGTCTCTCCCATGCCACTTTAATTCCTAGTGTTATAAGAGAAGGACATGGCTTCACTATTTTCAGGGTACCTCTATTTACTTACTATGGGTAGTAGTCAGGTTCTCATACAAACCCACAAATGTCCCCAACTTAAAATCATTTCCTCACTATTCAAAGAATTTTTCACATCAATAGAAAAAGTGAAATAGTAAAATGAACATTCATATACTTTGCACCTAGACTCACCATTATTAATGGTTTGCCATGTTTGCTTTCTCTCTCTCTCTAAACACGCACCTTTTTATTGTGAACCACATACAAATAGCAGCTGTCATCTACATCATTTTGAAAATACCCTTTATTGGCTAAGGCTTTTCCAAACAAATCTACTTTTCAACTATGTTTGCAGGTAAGAGTTTGAAGATGTATAAGCTAGTCATTATTTTTTGGTCCCCCAAAACTTGCCAATTAAAAGACATCTAAGTCACACGTTATGTTACTGCCATATTCTGACACCTAAGACTGACCATGAAAAGTGTGATTATCCTTTAGAATGATAGCCAGTGATGGTTGGCAGTGAAAAACATAACATTTGATTAGGCTTTGGAAATGTCTGTAAATAAAAACACATTTCATAAAGTACTTACAGAAAACAGCATGTTCTTTTTATCTTGGTTGACAGCTCGTGGGTCAGGGACGGGATCAGTGTGCTTGATGACAGAGACAGATTCACCTAAGCGGGTTGTGAGACAGAAAAAACAGATCTCTGCGACCCACACCAAGAACCTAGAACCTCTCATTCATGCCCACCCATTACCACTCTTGGGATACTGTTAGTGTGAGAAAAGGTTGGCAAAAGGCCCAATTCATTCAAAGGAGGTAAGCTGGGAAAACTTAGTAATGGAAATTAATACCAGAACAAAGGGTGTCAGGATAAAAATCAACACAATTCCAAAATAAAAAAGTGAATTTTCAAGTAGAATCCCCATTGATTATTTTCTGGAGTAACTATTCAAATTAATTTATTTTTCAGTAATCATTTTATACTCTGATACTGTGACTGTATTATTTACATATATTTGTTGTATACTTTAATAAATACTTTAACATATATACTGATACTTTTTTTTTTTTTCGAGACAGAGGTCTTGCTCTATCACCCGGGCTGGTGCAATGGCACCATCACAACTCACTACAGCCTCAACTTCCTGGGCTCAAGCAATCTTCCCAACTTGGCTTCCTGAATAGCTGGGATTACAGGCACCCAATACCACGCCGGGTTAATTTTTTTGGTATTTTTTTGTAGAGATGAGGTTTTACCATGTTGCCCAGGGTGGTCTCCAACTCGTGGACTCAAACAATTTGCTCATCTTGTCCTCCTCAAAGTGCTGGAATTACAGGTGTGGGCCACATCTGGCTATGCTCTGGAGTAGCAATTAGCAAGTGTACTGGAAAGATCGCATGGTAAATAAAGAACTACTTTTTTTTTTTTTTTGAGACGGAGTCTTGCTTTGTTGCCCAGGCTGGAGTCCAGTGGCACAATCTTGGCTTACTGAAACCTCTGCCTCCCGGGCAATTTTCCAGCCTCAGCCTCCCAAGTAGCTGGGATTACAGGCATGTGCCACCATGCCCAGCTAATTTTTGTATTTTTAGTAGAGACAGGTTTTGCTATGTTGGCCAAGGCTGGTCTCAAACTCCTGACCTGAGGTGATCCCCCCACCTCGGCCTCCCAAAGTGCTGGGATTACAGGCATGAGACACCATGCCCAGCTGATTTCAATTTAAAAATCATGTCATAGATATATAATTAGGGTCAATCTGAGTAAAATATGTCTCTAAATGTTACTTTAAGTTACAGGTAGCAAACTTCACTCTCAATATTTGACCAAAAAAATTGGTTCCACAAGTTAGCCAAAAACTACATTATGATTTCTTAATGAAAGAAAGATAATATTCGAGAACCTCTATGAAGTTTAAATTTTTTTTTAAACTTTTAAAGTTTTTTATTATAGGCTGGGTGTGATGACTTATGTCTGTAATCCCAGCACTTTGGGGGTTTGAGGCGGGCGATCACTTCAGGTCAGGAGGTCAAGACCAGCCTGGACAACATGGCAAAACCCTATCTCTACTAAAAATACAATTAGCCAGGTGTGGTGGTGCATGCCTGTAATTTCAGCTACTAGGGAGGCTGAGGCATGAGAATTACTTGAACCCCGGAAGCAGAGGCTGCACTGAGCTGAGATCGCGCCACTGGGCCACAGAGTGCAACTCTGTCTTTAAAAAAAAAAAAAAAAAGATTTTCATTATAGAGACTATAACTGCTCTCTCAAACTCTTGGCCACAAGTGATCCTACTGCCGCAGCCTCCCAAAGTCCTGAAATTACAGGCATGAGCCACCGTGACCAGCCTAAAAAGTTTTTAAATGCCTGTAATCCCAGCACTTTGGGAGGCCAAGGCAGGCGGATCATGAGATCAGGAGTTCGAGACCAGCCTGACCAACACAGTGAAACCCCGTCTCTACTAAAAATACAAAAATAAGCTGGGCATGGTGGCGCACGCCTATAATCCCAGACACTCAGGTGGCTGAGGCAGGAGAACAGCTTGAATCCAGGAGGCAGAGGTTGCAGTGAGCTGAGATCACAGCACTACACTATAGCCTGGGCAACAGAGCGAGACTCCGCCTCAAAAAAAAAAAAATTTTTTTTAAATGGCAACTACGTCTTTAGGGCACACTATGAGAATTTCACACATATAACCCAACCATTTCTCCAACATTTTATGGCTTAATTGGCCTCCAGCTTGTTGTTGCTAATGAGAATTTTAATAAGTAAGCTATTTATAAAGAAACAATACCAAAAAAAATAGAGCCAGGTTACTCATATAACTGTCTCCATGACATTAGCTGCTTTTCAAAATTGATAATCAGATAAATCTTGAGAGCCTTTAGACTTTATGTTTACTATTTAATCCAAGTTAGCATTGTATTTAAAGTTAATTCTTCTGACAAACTTACTTCCAGTTAGTATGAACCCTCCACCCTAGATTGTGCTTTTATCACACAAAAACGGGAAAATGTTTCAAACAATTGTGCAAATTCCAGGTAGTACAATTTTCATCTCTTATGGGGGCTAACTTTTGTTCATTGTGTATTTGGATACTGTAAAGATTGATACAACATTAGCACTCCTCCAGTGAAAAAAATTACAGCACTGGAGTCTATTTTTCTTGCCTGGAAAAAGGACATCGAATAAGTAATTTGCTTTCCACAAAACAGACAACAATTCAACCTTAAGATTTACCTATGGTAACGAACAAATTACAACTTTTTTTTGGAGACAGAGTCTTGCTCTGTCCCCCAGGCTGGAGTGCAGAGGCACAAGCATGGCTCACTGTAGCCTTGACCTAGGCACAAGTGATCTTTTCACCCAGCCTCCTGAGTAGCTGGGATTACAGGCCTGGCTAATTTTTGTATTTTTTGTAGATACGGGGTTTTGCCATGTTGCCCAGGCCCGTCTTTAACTCCTGGGCTCAAGCCATCTGCCCGCCTCAGTCTCCCAAAGTGTTGGAATTACATGCATGAGCCACCGTGCCCAGCCATTTTGTTTTGTTTTTAAATCATGCCTTTAAAACCGTATCGGCAGCCAGGTGCAGTGGTTCACGCCTGTAATCCCAGCACTTTGGGAGGCCGAGGCAGGTGGATTACCTGAGGTCAGGAGTTCAAGACCAGCCTGACCAACAAGGTAAAACCCCATCTCTAATAAAAATACAAAAATTAGCTGGGCATGGTGGCAGGAGCCTGTAGTCCCAGCTACTTGGGAGGCTGAGACAGGAGAACTGCCTGAACCTGAGAGGCGGAGGCTGCAGTGAGCCGCAATCACGCCACTGCACTCCAGCCTGGGCAATGGAGCGAGACTAAAGCACTAAGAAATAAGTATCTTAGAGAGGATTAAGATGGGATACCATAAAGGGACAGTGAGGCAAGAGCCAACTCTATTGGCATGGAATATGCGAAGGTCTTCAGAAATTCAATGACTTAATATATCATATTTACCTGTGAGAATTGACTGGTCAACTCTTAGTGTGGTAGATTTGATGGAAGTTAACCTTATATCAGCAGGAACTTTGTCACCAACTAATTAGGAGAAAAAAAAGGCGGCTGAAATGAGCAACTTTTAAAACTATGTTATCTAAAGATGAATTTGTCTCCAAATCAATTTTTAAAGAAAATAAATGATCTGCATATAACACAAATACATAAAATTCAGTTAAAACAAGCAAAGTGATCAACCTATCTTGGAGTCATAAAAAACTTTAGATGGATTCAAGATTTGAATTAGGAAGGAAGAGAATGAGGCTTAAGGAAACCTAACTACATTATTCTAAGAAATTTTGCTCTGTATCTTCAGACAGGCCTTCAAGCTTTCACTTTAAAGAATACTTTCCTACTTAGCAGTAAGTAAAAGTCTTACTACATATACACAAGGCACAGCAAAGAGAATAAAGTTGTATATGCCATGATTCATTCCATCAAAAAAGCTAAATTATTGTGAACAGGAAGCAAATGGCCCCCTTTAAAAAGATATTCAATTAACGAAACACATGGCAAATGCAAAATAAAACTACACAGTAACACCACTTTTTTTTTTTGAGACAGGGCCTTGCTCTGTCACCCAGGATGTAGAGATCAGTGAGGCAATCACAGCTCACTGCACCCTTGACCTCCCACTTCAGCTTCCCAAGCAGAAGGACTACAGGTGCACACCACCTGGGAAACAAAGCTAGTCTCCATCTCAAAAAGTAAAATAAAATAAAATGTTTATTTCCAAGTTAATCTTAGCTCTTTCACTGTTTCAAACCCTTTGATATGCTCGTATAACATGTAATTAATTCATACTAAAATGACAACTTCCAATGGTATAAAGAAACACCTCTGGGAAGGTGTAGCAAACTAGTAACACTGCACAGCTGGGGCATATATCCTTTGATACTTTTTGAAATATCAATTAATGGGAGGCTGAGGCAGGAGAATGGCGTGAACCCGGGAGGCGGAGCTTGCAGTGAGCTGAGATCGCGCCACTGCACTCCAGCCTGGGCGGCAGAGCGAGACTCCGTCTCATAAAAAAAAAAAGAAATATCAATTAAATGAATAATAAACCTCTTGCATAACCTGAAGATCTTTAAGTCAACTGAGTCTTCTTTCCTAGGCCAACAAGTTACTTTAATAGCTCTTAAAAGGCCCAAATCTCAGCCCCTTTCCTTGATGTGTGTACAAAGTGAAATTCCACAACATAGCCCAAGTAACAGACAAAGCCATGCACCTTGAGAATAGTGCCCAGCCCTCTGCTGGTATTCAAATACTGCTGAATGAGTGGCACAATCACACAAAGCAGCTGGACATTAAAACAGCTGTCCGTTAATCCCAACACTTTGGGAGGCTGAGGCGGGAGGATCACTCGAAGCTAGGAGTTCGAGACCAGTCTGGCCAACATGGCGAAAACCTGTCTCTACTAAAAATATAAAAAATTAGCTGGGAGGAATGGTAGTGTGCCTGTAGTCTCAGCTACTCAGACGGTTGCAGTGAGCCGAGTTCACACCACTACATTCCAGCTTTGGAGACAGAGCGAGACTTTGTCTCAAAACAACAATAATAACAACAAAACAGCTGTCCGTGATTTTCTGAAAGATAATTAAGGTGGTTTGTAAGTCTTACGAAAGGGCAGCTACAAATTACATAAGAAAATTCTCCCATACTTGCAGATGGCATTTTAAAATCAAATCATTTTTCAGACTTACTCTCTATACTGAATTGCATGTTACCAGTCATATACAAAATGGCAAAATAGCACTCCTGTCCAAGAAGTAAACATTGAATTTCTTATTTTTTATTTTCTTTTCAGAGACAGAGTCTTGCTCTATCACCCAGACTGGAGTGCAGTGGCATGATCTCAGCTCACTGCAACCTCCACCTCCCGGGTTCAAGCGATTCCCCTGCCTCAGCCTCCTGATCAACCGGGACTACAGGCGTGCGCCACCACAACCAGCCTCATTTTTGTATTTTTAGTAGAGATAGCGTTTCACTATGTTAGCCAGACTGATCTCAAACTCCTGACCTCAGGCATCCACCTGCCTTGCCTCCCAAAATGCTGAGATTACAGGCGTGAGCCACTGCACCCAGCCAACACTGAACTTCTTAAACCTTCAAATTAGTTCTGATTTTTCTCTACTTCGGAGCTTAAGTTCAGGGAGAATATGGTTTACTTTTTTAATTTGAGTGCATAAAAACAATGCTATAGCCTAAGTAAGCAATGTGGTCACAAGGCGGCACAGTTTGTCAATATATAATCTCAACAGGCAAAGATCACCCTTGCATTTGACTGCAGGGACACACAAGCTAAGGTGAAATTCCTGCTGGAAATGCTTGTGCAATGAACAGCAATATTCAGACTGAATCAACGAGAACCTTTCATTTTAATATAATTCTGCTCTAACTACATTGAAGAGAGTACATCTAACAGATGATTTAAGACAACAAAGTAACTATATTCTAAACTTTAGTGGTCTTTAACAGCTAACATGCCCTATACTGCACTATTTCTGCCTGTCATGATTAACCTGATCCTACATGCCCTCGAACATTTCAAAAAGAGGACAAGTTCAATGATGAATATTATGACCCTAAATGGAAAATTTATTTCCAAATGTTCCTTTGGTGTCTGAGGATTTGATTTACGTCAATGTCATGATCCTATGGAGTAGAAGACTTCTGTCCAATGTGAGATAGCGGTCGTCAATCTATAAGCACTATTTTACTTCTGCATTGTAACTGCTGAACAGACTTAAACAATTCAATATATAAACCCTAGCTCATACTCTCATATACTTGACAAATTTTAAAAGGTCAACAAATCTAATATTTAAATTGAGTACAACCTACAAGAGGATACAAAAGCAATGTTTTGGCATGTGTTTTGCTGTGTTTCAGTGGAAGCTCAGAGGATTTGAAATAAATAGAAAATGTATTTTTCAGGTAAGAAATACCAAGGTTAAATTTCCTGGGTAACACTGCCAACATATTACAGGTTGAGTATCCCTTACCCAAAATGCTTGGAAACAGTATTTTAAAATTAAAATTTGGAGTGTTTGATTTATATTCTTACTGTTGAACATCTCTACACAAAAAACTCAAAATCTGAAATGCTCCAGTAAGTATTTCCCTTGAGCATCATGTTGGTGCTCAAAAAGTTTCTGATCTTTGAGCTTTTCAGATTAGGGATATCCAATCGTTATCTAACAGTATTAGGTAGGACCAATACTAAATATACATATTTAGTATATATACACACTGTATTTAGTAATGGTCCTACCTAACACTAATAGATACACCTACAGGACCAACAGGTAGTACAGGACTATAGGTCTTACCTATTGGTCCTATAGTATAAATATACAATATGTGTAGTATAGATTTATTATATATAGTATTAATATATAATATAGTATATATTATGTATATGAAAGATTATATTTATACTGGCATTATAAGGAAACCAACATGTACTCTTTCCCTTTATAAAGGTCTACTAAAATATATGAAAGGTGTTTCTTTGCTGTGCAGAAACTGTATTGATACACATTTAACTTTTGGCCAAATACTGAGGAATACCTTAAATGTCAAATGCTAGAGGAACAAATGTCAAATGCCTGGGAAACCCTTAAATACTGACCACAGCTGTTCTAAATGTTTCCATCTTACAACTTCCATTCTAATCAAGTGGCAATTAAATATTTAGAAACGACAAGAAGAGTTATCTGGAGATCTTTTACAGATTCTTTAAGAGTATGATTAAATGCATTTGGAGTGGGGTCTAGGAATCCACTTTTTTTTTTTTTTTTTTTTTTTCATTTTTTATTCTTACAGACAGGGTCTCACTCTGTCACCCAGGCTGGAGTATACTGGCGTGATCACGGTGAACTACAGCCTTGAACTCCTGGGCTCAAGTCATCTTCCCACCTCAGCCTCCCAAGTAACTAGGACTACGGGCATGTGCCATTGCACCAGGTTAATTTTAAAATTAAGAATCCATATTTTTAAAAAGGTTTTACAAATACACTAGAAAAATTAATGCAAGAGAAAAAATGCAATAGCTAGAGTCATGGATCCTATGAACAGCTTTTCTGTTGTGCTGTTTCTCATCTATCAGGCACACCAACTCGAAGCTAAAAAGCTCCAAAGCCTCCCAACACTTGGGAAATATGCTACCTTAGAGTTTCTATGTTTAATTGGCTTCTATTAGAAACTGATCTTTGTAGAAAGATATTGAAGAAACATAAATCCAAAAAACCTGCCATAGACTGGGCACGGTGGCTTATGCCTGTAATCCCAGAACTTTGGGAAGCTGAGACAGGCAGATCACCTGAGGTCAGGAGTTCAAGACCAGCCTGGCCAAGATGATGAAACCCCATCTCTACTAAAAATACAAAAATTAGCCGGGTGTGGTGGTGGGTGCCTGCAATCCCAGCTACTTGGGAGGCTAAAGCAAGACTATCGCTTGAGCCTTGGAGGCGGAGGTTGCAGTGAGCCGAAGTTGCGCCACTCCAGCCTGGGTGAAAGGGCGAGACTCCATCTCAAAAACAAACCAACGAACCTGCCATATTCTAGTATTTTCTTAGCTAGAGGGACCATCACATCATCTTGACCAACCAATGTCCTCTTCATTTTATGCACAGGAACTCAGGCTAGGAAGTAAAAGTAGCCTTCTCTAAGGAAGCTCAATTAATGAAAACCTTTGTTTAACTTGCTGTGTGACTGTTACATTCCTTTTGTTGATATCAGAGTCAATTTAGGGTTGACTCTATTAGGAAAACAGGTTCTTAGAGTTAAAAGGTTCATGAAAGTAAAGGTCCACCGAATACTTTTCAAGTGAAGACACAACAATTTCCCTTTGTCTGGAGAGGCTTCTGTGAATTTCAGACAAAGGATTTTGTGCATGAAGAGCAGGCTAGGCTGTTCCGATGATCACATCCTGTAACATTTCCCTGGTGAGGCATGTCAATGCTCTTAGGGCAAGTGGTAGTGGAAAATTCTTACTCTTGCCAAAGGGATGCTCTGCAATTTTTTCTTCCAAATGTTTTTCTCTGACTCTTTGGGTGGAGGCAGGTACAATAAAAGAATAAACTCTGAATTACCTTCCATTTAACATCTGACACCTTTCAAATTCAGCTCTTGAAAATCCACAGCTCTTTAATTTGCTATTACAATAAAGATTTCCAATCAGAACAAAATCCTCACAGTATACTTGCACAAGAGTTCAAGTAAGAGTTCATTAAATTATCAGTTTGCCACGTTTTAGAACTCCATGCAAACGTTTATAAGCCATGATACTGAAACATTATTTGTACCACTTATGTCAAATATAAATACTGATGGTTAAAACTACCATTATTCAAGCCGGGCATGGTGGCTCACACCTGTAATCCCAGCACTTTGGGAGGCCAAGGCGGACGAAGCATTTGAGGTCAGGAGTTTGAGACCAGCCTGGCCAACATGGTGAAACTCCGTCTCTACTAAAAATATAAAAATTAGCCCGGCATGGTGGCGGGCGCCTATAATTGTAGCTACTTGGAGGCTGAGGTTGCAGTGAGCTGAGATTGCGCCACTGCACTCCAGCCTGGGTGACACAGTGAGACTCCATCTCAAAAAAAACCCAAACAAACCAAAAATCAGCATTATTTTTTTAAAAAATCCTTTTTATTAATCAATTGTATTATGCATTTTAAAAACCTAATTTATTGTGGCAAACACCAGTTATTAAAATCTTTTATAAGAAAAACACTATTTAAGACCAGAAATTACCTTCTAAATGCCACTGTTGTTTTTGAATCTAAATGGCTCCTAGGAAACACAAGGCATAACAGATTTATCTTAAACTACTTAAACATTTAACTGTGACTCAAAATTTTCACCGTGTTTCCAATTTGAGTCATAAATTTTGTAGTTTAGCAGAGACTGAATGAAATTCTTCATTTGAGAAGCTCTACTTGACTACTTTAAACTACTTCCAGGCCTCACGGTGAACAGGGAAGGAACATTACACAATACCCCATTATACTACTGTGGTTTGCTCCCAATCTGTTTCTTAGACAGTACTGTCTTTAAAATGGCAAACGTGATCTCCTCCTGTTTTAAAATCTTTCAACAGCTTCTTTGGCATCCCAACCCGGGCTTATAACAGCCTCCATGACCCAAGTGCTGTTTGCCTGTCACCCTCTCACCTCCCTCTGAGCATCACACACTATGCTCTTCAGTTCCTCTAACTTGTTTCTGGGCCTTCACATACCCTTTCTTCTCCCATAAATAGTAAGGCTTTCCTCTAACTCCCAGATTAGGCTGGCATCCCTCACTGTGTGCCCACAGAGCATCCTGTCCTTTCCTTACACTCGCATGGTCTTCATGAATCTTCCCCACTAAAACCAAAAGCTCCATAAAGGCAGAGTCACTCAGACATCACTGATTTCCTAGCCCTACCACTATACCTGGCACACAGTGGGTGTCAAATAAAATATCTGTCAATGAATAAAGCATTTGGCACACATATTTCCTTTAGTATACATGTAGCAAAAGACTTCTAATTACCAAGTTGAAGAACATCACGAAGCTAGAAACAATAAAAAATCAGGGTCCAAAGAGATAACAGCTTTGGTTAAGCTAAATGAGGTTCAATAATGGTAGTTGCTTAAATTCTACGTTTAGACTAAAACCAAAATAATCTATGCCAGTAAAAGTCTAGAAATTTAGGAATGGGGGGATGGGAAGAACACCTAAGAAAGACTGTAGTTTTAGCTGGTAGAGTAATTAAGACTGCCAAAGAAATTTCCATAGACTGTCAGAAGACAAAAAATGTCTAGAATGACAACCAGACTCCATTTACATAACTGCATTCAATCTGGGTACCAAAGAGAACTACCAAGATGGTAAAGCGTTTGAAACAAATGCTAAGACTAACTTGGAAATAAACATTTTATTTTATTTTACTTTTTGAGATGGAGACTAGCTTTGTTGCCCAGGCTGGAGTGCAGTGGCATGATCTCGGCTCACTGTAACCTCCACCTCCCAGGTTCAGGCGATTTTCCTGCCTCAGCCTCCCGAGTAGCTGGGATTACAGGTGCCCACCACCACACCAAGCTAATTTTGTTTGTTTGCTCTGTCACCCAGGCTGGAGCACAGTGGCGTGATCTCAGCTCACTGCAACCCCCGCCTCCTGGGTTCAAGCAATTCTCCTGCCTCCCTCCCAAATACCTGGGACTACAGGCGTGTGCCGATGCGGCCGGCTAAGTTTTGTATTTTTAGTAGAGATGGGGTTTCACCACGTTGGCCAGGCTGGTCTCGAACTCCCAACCTCAAGTGATCCACCCACCTAGGCCTCCCAAAGTGCTGGGATTACAGGCGTGAGCCACCGCACCCGGCCAAAAATAAAAATTTTAGGATACGCTATACTGCTAACATTTGACAGTCCTAGTACTGCCACAAACTGCCACATGCTCCTGGATAAGTTACAAACTCTGAGTTTTAGTCTTCTCATCCCCTAAAATAAGGTTTCATAAGCTCCCCTTCAGATCTAAACTGGTGATAAATCAGATTTCTATGTGGCTCCAAATTAAAAAAGCTAACATACACAACAGACAAAATATATTTTAGCTCATAAGGAATATTTTATAATGAACTGACTAAAAAAATGACACTGATCATTAAGCAAGTTTCCAGTTACTAGAGTTATGGGGGTAGAAAGGTAACCAATTCATTAGATGTTGCAAAGGCAACCATGCACTAAGCAATGTTAGAGTACTCCAGCCTACCTACCAACAGAGATTTTTATCACAAAAGAAAAATGCACGTTTAAAAGGTCAAACACCATTCTTCTTCCCCTCTTTCAACAGATATATATACAGTTAACAGTATATTGCCGGGCGCGATGGCTCACGCCTGTAATCCCAGCACTCTGGAAGGCTGAGGCAGGCGGATCACAAGGTCAGGAGAACGAGATCATCCTGGCTAACATGGTGAAACCCCGTCTCTACTAAAAATACAAAAAATTAGCCGGGCATGGTGGCGGGTGCCTGTGGTCCCAGCTACTTGGGAGGCTGAGGCAGGAGAATGGCATGAACCCAGGAGGCGGAGCTTGCAGTGAGCTGAGATCATGCCACTGCACTCCAGCCTGGGCGACAGAGCGAGACTCCATTTCCAAAAAAAAAAAAAAAAAGTGTATCTTCTGGATTTTCTGGACATCTCTTTATGTACAACATTCACTAAAACAATATTAGACCTTTTATATTTATACATACCTGTCTCATTTTAAAAAGTGGCTGTATAGTAATAATAAGCAATGAAATTTTGAGACTATTATTTCTAGACCAGGTACTGCTGGAACAGCTTCACAGGTTACTAATTCAATCTTCACAACTCTAAGGAGGGATCTATTATCTTTACTCCCTCCCTGTTTATAGATGAGGAAAATGAGACACTAAAAGGTACTTGTTCAAGGCCACAGTATTTCACAACCATACCATGAACTAAATGAATCATCCTCTATTTTTATGGCTATCTAGTTATTTCTAACATTTCCTTTTACGGTGTTACAGGGTTAACATCTTCGTCTGTTATCTTTTACTTTTGCATACAAATGTATACTCCCACCAAGTTTATGTCCCTCCTGTTTCCCCATTCTCTCAATCTTGTATTTTTCTGGCACTGATAATGCCAAGCCCTTTGTTTTACTTTTTTTTTTTTTTTCTTTTTTTGAGACAGAGTTTCACTCTTGCTGCCCAGGCTGGAGTGCAATGGCACGATATCAGCTCAGCACAAACTCTGCCTCCTGGGTTCAAGTGATTCTCTTGCCTCAGCCTCCCAAGTAGTTGGGATTACAGGCAAGCGCTACCATGCCCAGCTAATTTTGAATTTTTAGTAGAGACAGCGTTTCTCCATGTTGGTCAGGCTAGTCTCGAACTCCTGACCTCAGGTGATCTGCCCGCCTCGGCCTCCAAAGTGCTGGGATTACAGGCATGAGCCAGTGTACCCGGCCACCAAGCCCTTGGTTTTCAAAAGTTCCATTATCGGCCGGGCACAGTGGCTCATGCCTGTAATCCCAACACTTTGGGAGGCTGACGGTGGGTGGATCTCTTGAGGTCAGGAGTTCAAGACCAGCCTGGCCAACATGGTGAAACCCCGTCTCTACTAAAAAAAAAATACAAAATAGCCAGGTGGGGTGGTGCACACCTGTAATTCCAGCTAATGGGAAAGCTGAGGCAGAAGAATCGCTTGAACCCAGGAGGCAGAGGTTCCAGTGGTCCAAGATTGCACCACTGCTCTCCAGCCTGGGTGACAGAGCCGAGACTTTGTCTCAAAAAAAAAAAAAAAAAAAAAAGTTCCATTATCTTTTAATATAAAAGTTGGTCACAGTTAAATCTGCCCATCTAGGTGGTTTGGTGTTAATGCTTAGGAAAGGTGGTTCCCATGGCCAGCAGCGGTGGCTCACACCTGTAATCCCAGCACTTTGGGAGGCCAAGGCAGATGAAGCACTTGAGGTCAGGAGTTTGAGACCAGCCTGGCTAACATGGTGAAACCCCATCTCTACTAAAATATACAAAAAATTAGCCGGACATTGTGGTGGGTGCCTGTAGTCACAGCTAACGGGGAGGCTGAGGCAGGAGAATGGCGTGAACCCAGGAGGCGGAGCTTGCAGTGAGCCGAGATCATTCCACTGCACTCCAGCCTGGGCGACAGAGCGACTCCGTATCAAAAAAAAAAAAAAAAAAAAAAGGAAAGGTGGTTCCCAAACCACATGGTTTCTTCTCCTTTTTCCAAAATCTTCATCTCAGTAGCAAGAATGAAAAGGTTGGCACTTCCTGGTACTGTGACTACCACTGAATCATGGGGAGTAGAGAGGAGGTGATTACAGGAAATCAGGAAGGAAATGCCAGCCCCATGAAATCAGGTCAGGCTTCAAGATCAACTGGCCTATCATGGTCTGATGGTTGAGGAGAACTCTCATTTCTCACAGTTCTTAATGTCTTAGCTATTCTGACAGTGCTCAGGGGCTCTCAAACTCAAAAACTCTCTATGCTGATTTTTGTTTTAGACTATTTTGCTCTTCTGCTTATCCGTTTTCTAGAGTAATAATTTATACCTTGGCTTTGGAAACAGAGGTATAGCTTCCAGGATTTACAGAACAACTAAAGCAATTTTTCTTTTTTGTTTTGTTTTCTTTTTTTTTTTTTTTTGCAACAGAGTCTCGCTCTGTCCCTCAGGGTGGAATGCAGTTGTGCAATCTAGGCTCATTGCAGCTTCCATCTCCTGGGTTTAGGCGATTCTCGTGCCTCAGCCACCCAAGTAGCTAGGATTACAGGCATCCACCACCACACCCGGGTAATTTTTGTATTTTTAGTGAAGATGGGATTTCACAGTGTTGGCCAGGCTGGTCTCGAACTCCTGGGCTCAAATGATCCGCCTGCCTTGGCCTCCTAAATTGCTGGGATTACAGGCATGAGCCACCATGCCCGGCCTGTACTTCAGTTTTCAAAACTAAATAGCTAGAATCCTGAGGTGGACTTTCTGAGGAGGAGGACAAATGAACCTCCTGAAGTTGCACACAAGATTTTCAATATATGTTTTTGGGGAAGAAAGTCCATAAATTTCATTAATTCTCAAAGGGACTGTGATCTAGAAATGATTAAGATCTGCTCTAGAGCCTTGCTACTCAAATTATTGACCTGGGAGCTTATTAGAAATGCAGAATAATCAGGCCCCATTTCAGACTGAACCAATCAAAACATACATTTTAACAACATCCCCAGGTAATTCCTGCACACATGAAGTTAGAGAAACATTGATCTAAGCAGTGTGCAAAATCTTAAGGCTCCCCACCCCCCGAACTTTTTTTGGGAGACAGAGTTTTACTCTGTCTCACTCTGTCACCCAGGCTGGAGCATACTGGCACGATCTGAGCTCACTGCAGCCCTGACCTCCCAGGCTCAACTGATCCTCCCACCTCAGCCTCCCGAGAAGCAGGGACTACAGGAGCACGTCAACATGCCCAGCAAATTTTCATTTTTTATTTTTTTAGAGACGGGGTCTTTCCATGTTGCCCAGGCTGGTCTCAAACTCCTGAGCTCAAGTGAACCTCGTCTCAGCCTCCCAAAGTGCTGGCATGAGCCATGGCTCCCAGCCTCACTATGCAAGTTTTTAAAACTTTTTTTGTAAAGACAAGGTCTCAATATGTTGCCCAGGCTGGTCTCAAACTCCTGGGCTCAAGTGATCCTCCTGCCATGGCCTCCCAAAATGCTAGGATTGCAGGGATAAGCCACTGCACCCAGCCAACACCTTTTTTTTTTTTTTTTTAAACAATTCTCTTTTCATATTTTACAAAAGACTTTGGTACAGAGATTGTTGTGGCCCACAAAACCCAAAATATTAGCTGGACGCTATAGCTCACACTTATAATCCCAGCGTTTTTTTTTTTTTTTTTTTTTTTTTTTGAGATGGAGTCTCGCTCTGTCCCCCAGGCTGGAGTGCAGTGGCGCGATCTTGGCTCACTGCAACCTCTGCCCCCTGGGTTCAAGTAATTCTCCTGCCTCGGCCTACCGAGTAGCTGGGATTACGGGTTACGGGTGCCTGCCACTGCACCCGGCTAATTTTTGTATTTTTAGTAGAGACGGGGGTTTCACCATCTTGGCCAGGCTGGTCTTGAACTCCTGATCTTGTGATCCACCCGCCTCCGCCTCCCAAAGACCTGGGATTACAGGCTAAGGCAGGAGGATCACTTGAGGCCAGGAGTTCAAGACCAGCCTGAGTGACACAGTGAGACCTCATGTCTATAAACAAACGAACCAACCAACCAACCCACAAAGATAGTATGCCAACTCCTCTGCTCTACAGCAGACTGACTACTCTGTTTTGTGTTAAAGAGCATTTAATGTTTGCTAAATGTTTAAAGCCAGTCAATTCCAACCCCAACAGCTTTCTAAAAGCAAAAAAAAGTCCACATGGACTCATGGCCATACTATCTAAATCACACTTTTTAGAGCAAGAAAGCTCCTTGAAACAGTACTCCAATTACCTAATTCTGCAGAGGTTAATGTACATAGTCCAATGTCATGCAGAACTAGGATCATAATCCAGGTTCTTATATGAATCCACTCATCTATTTCACAACTCTGCCTTTTACTCAACTGCTTCAAAAGCAGTTTATACCTGCTACTAAATCTCAGTACTGCATGTTAACTGTCTGAAGTAAAAGTTTCCTTCCTTTAAATTGAAAGTTTTCTTCCTTTAAATTGCTGTCAAGTTTAAGAATTATTCTTTTTATTCCCGAGTAAATCTTGAAATTGCTGGCACCCTGTTGGCTATTAAGTCTTCATTTTAGGAAATAAAATTATCAATTTCTGTACAAGTGCTAAAGCAAATGCAATTTTAAGATTGTGTTGCTTCCACTACTTAAATCTTAAAAGATGATTCGCTCCAGAGTATATACTACAAGACAGAAGTCATCTGAGAATATTTATTTCCTGGTGCTATTCATCAACCCTGGGTTACCAAGATACATAAAGTTTGTTTTAAACAACCCTGAAAACAGTGTTCTTAAGAAGTCAATAAATAACCCCTGCGGCATATACTAGAAGCCCCAAAATTCTAAAACTAAGACTTCTAGCTGGGAATGGTGGCTCATGCCTGTAATCCCAGCACTTTGGGAGGCCAAGGGAAGAGGATCCCTTGAGCCCAGGAGTTTGAGACTAGGCTGGGTAATACAGGGAGACCTTGTCTCAAAAAAACATCCCACAAAACCATGGCCGGGCACGGTGGTTCATGCCTGTAATCCCAGCACTTTGGGAGGCCAAGGGAGGCAGATCACTTGAGGTCAGGAGTTCGAGACCAGCCTGGCCAACATGGTAAAATCCCGTCTCTACTTTAAAAAAAAAAAAGGAAAAAGAAAAAAAGAAAACAGAAATGACTTAGGCTATTATAGCTTGATTCACTTTCATGTCAGCAGATAATACAGAAAGCTTAAAAACAATGACGTTCATTTCTTATAAGATTATGTACAACTTCACTACTTTTGGTTTCCATCCATCCGGAGAAATATTTTCTTGGCCTTAAGATAATGTAGAATTACTGTGGCTTCTTAAGAGGTGAACATGTGGGTCACTTTCTCTTTTTTTTTTTTTTGAGTCAGGGTCTCACTCTGTTGCCCACGCTGGAGTGCAGTGGCTTAATTTCAGCTCACTGCCACAGCCTCGACCTCCTGGGCTCAGGTGATCCTCCCACCTCAGCTTTTCAAGTCGTTGGGACTACAGGTACGCACCACCACGCCTAGCTAATTTTTGTATTTTTTGTAGGGATGGGGTTTTACTATGTTGCCCAGGCTGGTCTCAAACTCCTGGACTCAAGTGATCTGCATGCCTTGGCCTCCCCCAAAAGTGCTGAGATTACAGGCATGAGCCACTGAGCACAGCCTATGTGCGGGTTATTTTCTCCATGTTTTTATTTGCCATATCAATTTCATTTGGCTCTTGTGTTCTAGATACTTAAGACTCACATTAGCATTTGCTATGTATGCTTACCCAGTTTCTCTTTGGAATGATTAGCTGGTATAGCAACATATAAAATTTAGTTTCCTGGCTGGGCATGGTGGCTCACACCTGTAATTCCAGCACTTTGGGAGGCTGAGGCGGGCGGATCACTTGAGGCCAGGAGTTCGAGACCAGCCTGGCCAACATGGTGAAACCCTGTCTCTACTAAAAATACAAAAATTAGCCGGGTGTGGTGGCGGGCACTTGTAATCCCTGCTACTAGGGAGGCTGAGGCAGGAGAATCGCTTGAACCCAGGAGGCGGAGGTTGCAGTGAGCTGAGATCACGCCCTTGCACTCCTGCCTGGGCGACAGAGTGAGATTCCATCTCAAAAAAAAAAAAAAAAAAAAAAAAAAAAAAAAAAATTAGTTTCCTTAAACTCTCTCTCCATATCTCCCTCAAAAAACCACCTATTCCAGCTTAGTCTTTGAAAAGTTCAGCCAGAACCATCCTACCAGATATCTTCCAAAAGCTGACAAAGAATTTTAAAGTCAGGAGATGACCCTTACATTCCAAACAGTGACTACAAAAAGGTCTGTTCCTTTCTGCAAATATCAAAATCGTTAAGTCAGTACTTTTTTATTTTCAGCTTCGAATTAGTTTACAACACTCTCCAGTTTTCCAACACATCTGAAAAACCCCTTCACATCCAATTTCATAATGTAAATGAAAATATAAAAGTCACCATGTCTAAAAGCACAATTTATGCCATTTAATCTTTCAGGCTACGCAAATAGTACCTTCGACTGACAAGAAAAAATTCAGAATTAAAGTTCACTCTATAGTTTTCACAAAACTGAATTATCAGGCTAAATGCTAGATTGCACAGTCAATTTGATTACTAATTCTAAAAGAGGTGGAAGTTTAAAAGGCTCAACGTGTATAGTCTTAATAAAATAAATACCTATTTATCTGGCCCAGGTTATACAGTCACGGTATGCTTTTCCAAAATGTTCCATATAATAGTTGCAAATGCCTTAGAATTATATCTTACCCAATTCAATGACCTGCTGGTCCTAGTAACCCAGCAAACTATCATTTCTGATTTGCATATAAGTTTACAAACACCATGAAAGGTCACCAGAGTATACTGACAACCTAAATATTACAGCTGTAACTAGGCTTCCTCAACATGATAAAGGGCACCCGCCTATGAGACCCACACCTATGTCACACTTCACTGTGAAGGACTGGATGCTTTCCCCTACGATCAGTAAGACAAGGATGTCTGCTCTTGGTACTTCAACGTTGTATTGGAGATTCTAACCAGGGCAATTAGGCAAGAAATAAAGGGCATCCAGACTAGAAAGAAGTAAAAACATTTTCATTTGCAAATGCATGATCTTGTATATAGAAAATCTTAAGGAACCCATAAAAACTATTAAAACTAACTAATGAGTTCAGCAAGATGGCAAACTACAAGATCAATACGTAAAAAACTATTTCTACACGCTAGCAAAGAACAATCTGAAAATGAAATTGAAAAAAGAATTCCTAACTCAAGGCAAATTAAAGACTTAAATGTAAGGCCTCAAACTGTAAATATCCTAGAAGAAAACCTAGGAAATACTCTTCTCAACACTGCCCTAAGCAAAGAATTTATGACTAAGCCTCAAAAGCAAATGCAACAAATAACTTGACAATTGGGACCTAGTTAAACGAAAGAGTTTCTGCACAGCAGAAGAAATCTATCAACAGAGTAAACTGACAACCTACAGAATTGGAGAAAATAATTGCAAACTATGCACTCAACAAAGGACTAATATCCAGAATCTATAAGGAACTTAAATCCACACACAAACACACACACAAAATCACTGTTGAAAAGTGGGCAAAGGGTATGAAAAGACACTTCTCAAAAGACAACAATCAAGTAGTCAACATAGGAAAAAATGCTCAACATCACTAGTAGAGAGATGCAAATCAAAACCACAATGAGATGTCATCTCACACCAGTCAGAGTGACTATTATTGCTGGGCACGGTGGCTCACGCTTGTAATCCCAGCACTTTGGGAAGCTGAGGTGGGAGGATCACTGGAGCCCAGGAATTCAACTACTAGCCAGGGCAACATAGTAAGACCTCATCTCTACGAAAAAATTTAAAAATGAGCCTGTCATAGTGGTGTGTGCCTACAGTCCCAGCTAACCTGGAAGGCTCAGGTGGGAGGGTCACTAGAGCCTGGAAAGCCATGGCTCAATGAGCTATAATCATGCCACTGTGTTCCAGCCTGGGCAACAGACTGAGATCCTGCCTCAAAAAAAAAGAAAAAAAAAAAAAAAAAGGTGGTGGGGCTGGGGGGAACACTTATACACTGCTGGCAAGAATGTAAACTAGTTCAGCCCCCGTGGAAAGCTGTTTGGAGATTTCTCAAGAAACTAAAAACAGAATGACCATTCAACCCAGCGATCCCATTACTGGGTATATATCCCAAGAAAAAGAAATTGTGGCCGGGCGTGGTGGCTCACACCTGTAATCTCAGCACTTTCGGAGGCCAAGGTGGGTGAATCACTTGAGCCCAGGAATTCGAGACCAGCCTGGGCAACATGGTGAGACCTTATCTGTACGAAAAATACAAAAATTAGTTGGGCGTGGTGGGCATCTGTAGTTCCAGCTACAAGGAGGCTGAGGTGGGAGGATGGCCTGAACTCACAAGGAGGCTGAAGTGGGAGGATGGCTTGAGCTTGGGAGGTGGAGGTTGCACTGAGCCAAAATCGCACCACTGCACTCCAGCCTGGGCGACAGAGTGAGACCCTATCTCAAAAATAAATGTGGTATATATACACCATGTGATACTACGCAGCCATGCAAAAGAATGAAATCATGTCTTTTCCAGCAAAATGGATGCAGCCAGAGACTATTATCCTAAGTGAGTTAACCCAGAAAACCAAATACTGTCTGTTCTCACTTGTAAGTAGGAGCTAAACACTGAGTACACATAGCCATTAAGATGGGAACAATAAACACTGGGCACTCCAAAAAGTGGGAGGGAAAGAGGGGCGAGGGCTGAAAAACTATCTGTGAAGTACTATACTCATCATCTATACTCATCATCTGGATGACAGGATCAGCAGAAGCCCAAACCTCAGCATCACACATTAAATCCACATAACAAACCTGCACATGTACCTTGAATCTAAAAATTTTAATTAAAAATAAATATCACTAGGCCGGGCGCGGTGGCTCACGCCTGTAATCCCAGTACTTTGGGAGGCCAAGGCGGGTGGATCACGAGGTCAGGAGATCGAGACCATCCTGGCTAACATGGTGAAACCCTGTCTCTACTAAAAATACAAAAACATTAGCTGGGCATGGTGGCAGGCGCCTCTGGTCCCAGCTACTGGGGAGGCTGAGGCAGGAGAATGGCGTGAACCCGAGAGGCGGAGCTTGCAGTGAGCAGAGATCGTGCCACTGCACTCCAGCCTGTCATAGCGGTGAAAGAGCGAGACTCCGTCTCAAAAATAAATAAATAAATAAATATCACCAATAGGCCAATTTCAAGTTACAAAAAATTATTCCAATTACAAATATTCCCCCCGCCAAAAATGCAATAACAAAAGAAGCACAAGACTTGAACACTGACAACCAGTGTTGAAAGAAATGACAGACCTTAAAAAAAAAAAACAAAAAAAAAACAGACATCCCTATGCTCATGGATCCAAAGACTTGATATTACGACCATATTTCCCAAACTCATCTATAGATACAACACAATTCTTACTGAAAATACCAGCTTGCTTTCTGCAGAAATTGACAAGCAACTCTTAAAAATTTATATGTAAATGTAAGGAACCCAGAATGCCCAAAATTATCTTGAACAAAGTTACACTCCCAAGTTCCCAATTTCAAAAAATACAAAACGACAGCTAGCTATCAAGACAGTATGGTACTGACCTAAAGACAGAGATCAATGGAGTAAGAATAGAGTCTAGAAATACATTCTTGCATTTGTAAATTAATTTTTCACAAAGGTTGCAGGACAAATTAGTGAAGAAATCTTTTCAACAAATGGTGCTGAGACAACTAAATATCCACATGCAAAAGAAAGCAGCTGGATCTCCTACCTCACACCATAGTTTTTGCTGTTGTTGCTGTTTTTAAAGAGGCAAGGTCTTGCTTTGTTGCCTAGGGTGGAGGACAGTGGCAGGATCATAGTAGCTCACTGCAGCCTCCACTCTTGGGCTCAAGTCATCTTCGTACCTCTGCCTCCTGAGTAGTGAGACTACAGGCCTGTACCACCTTGCCTGGCTAATTTAAAAGTGTTTTTTTCCTAGGCTGGGCATGGTGGCTCTTGCCTATAATCGCAGCACTTTGAGAGGCTGAGGCAGGCGGATCATTTGAAGTCAGGAGTTCAAGACCAGCCTGGCCAAAACGGTGAAACCCCGTTTCTACTAAAAATACAAAAATTAGCTGAGTGTGGTGGTGTGCACCTGTAATCCCAGCTACTCGGGAGACTGAGGCGGGAGAATCGCTTGAACCCAGGAGGCGGAGGTTGCACTGAGCCGAGATCATGCCACTCGCTGCACTCCAGCCTGGACAACAGAGCAAGACTCCGTCTCAAAAAGAAAAAAAAAAGTGGTTTTTCCTGCCTCAGCCTCCCAAAGTGCTGGGATCATATAGGTATGAGCCACGACGCCTGGATCATATATACTGGCTAATATATAAAGTCTTTGTGACCTTCAATTGGCAACAGTTTCTTAGACATCACACCAAAAGCACAAGCAACAACAATGTATAAGTGGACTTTATCATATTAAAAACTTGTATGTTACAAAGTATGCCATCAAGAAAGTGAAAAAAAGGAATCCCTATAGAATGGGGAAAAAATTTTGCTAATCACACCTCATAAGGCAGGATATGTAAAGAATTCTTATACCTCAACATTAAAAAGACAAATAACCTAATTTAAACAGGCATTTCTCCAAAGAAAACACACCGATGGACAATAGCCACATGAAAAGATGCCCAACATCATTAAGAAATTAGGGAAACGGACGTCAAAACCACAATGATACTCACTTCCTGGGTAAAACTTTAAAACGATAGACAATGACATGTCTTGACAAGGATGTAGAGAAACTGGAACTTGTATACATTGTTGGTGGGAATGTAGAACAATATCACCACCATTCTGAAAGACAGTTTGGTAGCTGCTCAAAATGTTAAGTATAGAGTCACTATAGGCCCCATAATTCCATGCTTAGGTACATACCTAACAGAGAGAAAATGTTATGTTCACACAAAAATTAGTACAAGCATGTATGTACAAGTTATAGCACTATTCATTACTCATAATAGACCAAAACTGGAAACAACCCAAATGTCCATCAACTAATAAACATTATTCAGCAGTAAGGAATGAAATACATGCTATATTCATGAACGAAATGTAACACTATGCTAAGAGAAAGCCAGTCACCAAGATTGACTCCATTTATATGCAATATCCAGAAAAACAGACAGTAATCCACAAAACAGATAATAAACTGTGGTTGTCAGGAACTGGTGGGAGGAAAACAGGGCAACAACTGCTAATGGGTATGGGTTTTTCTGAGGGTGATGAAAATGTTCTGGAATTAAGATAATAATGAGGATCACACAGACCTTGAATATACTAATAATCTGGCATTCAATAATTGTATTGAAGGCCAGGTGCAGTGGCTCACGCCTGTAATCCCAGCACTTTGGGAGGCTGAGGCAGGTGGATCGCTTGAGGCCAGAAATTCAAGACTTGCCGGGCCAACATGGCCAAACTCTGCCTCTACTAAAAATACAAAAATATTAGCCAGGCGTGGCTGGGCGCGGTGGCTCATGCCTGTAATCAATCCCAGCACTTTGGGAGGCCGAGGAGGATGGATCACGAGGTCAGGGGCTTGAGACCATCCTGGCCAACACGGTGAAACCCCGTCTCTACTAAAAAATACAAAAATTAGCTGGGCGTGGTGGTACGTGCCTATAATCTCAGCTACTCGGGAGGCTGAGGCAGGAGAATCGCTTGAACCAGGGAGTCGGAGGTTGCAGTGAGCCAAGATCATGCCACTGCACTCCAGCCTGGCAACAGAGCGAGACTCGTCTCAAAACAAACAAACAAACAAACAAACAAAAAAGCAAGCAAGCCAGGCATAATGGCCCAAGCCTGTAATCCCAGCTACTCGGGAGACTGAAGCAGGAGAATCACTTGAAACTGGGAGGTACACAGGTTGCAGTGAGCCGAGATCACACCACTGCACTAGAGCCTGGGTGACAGAACAAGACTCTGTCTGTATAATATTATAATAATAATTGTATTGAACACACACATACACTTCAACTGTTTGTTCTGCACAGCAACTATGTTTACATTAGCTGAGCCTATCATATACTTCTGATTTCAAATTTCATTCATAGAGAACTTACGATAACGTTACAACAGTCAATATGACAGTTCTGTCCTTAAGGTGCTCACTGCCTAGTAGTATGACAACAGTATTTAATAAAATGCCCACATACATTCTAAACCTAGATGTCTGTTCTGCATTACTCAGTTAAAAAGGTCACAATTTAAGACGAAAGCAAGCAGCACTTAAGAGCCCAATGTCTCACACAGCTGGGCTTAACTAAAATAATAATAGGCCAGGCACGGTGGCTCACGCCTGTAATCCCAGCACTTTGGGAGGCCGAGGTGAGTGGGTCACGAGGCCAGGAGTTTGAGACCAGCCTGGCCAATATGGCAAAACCCCATCTCTACTACAACTACAAAAATCAGCTGGGTGTGGTGGTGCATGCTGGTGAGCCCAGCTAATTGGGAGGCTGAGGCACAAGAATCACTTGAACAGGCAGGCAGAGGTTGCAGTGAACCGAGATCACGCTACTGCATTCCAGCCTGCACAGCAGAGTGAGACCCTGTCTCAAAATAGTAATAATAATAATAATAATAATAATAGTAATAAAAATAAAAATTAAAGAAAAACAGAGCCCAACGTCAAAGCAATATATACGCTTTTTAGCAATTACCATACTGTGGGGGAAGAGCTGGGGAAAAAAAGTGGTAAATAACTACCAGAATCAGCACTATCTATGAAGGATTCAGAAACAGGTGAAAGGAAAATGGATTTAAATTTGTACTCCACTTTATAGTAGTAGTATATTCACCTAAGGGATTTAAACTCAGGTTTTTTTTGAATATTAAATTCATTGTCTTTTGAATATTCAAATAAAGGGAATGGTTGCCAGGGGCCAGGGAAGAGGGGAACTGGAAGTCAGTGTTTAAGGTGTACATTTCAGTTAGGGAAGATAAAAGTTCTGGATGGTGACAGTCCCAAAACAATGTGAATGTACTTAATGCCACAGAACTGCACGCTTAAAAATGGTTAAAATGGGTAAGTTTATAATATGTATACTTTACCACAATATAAATAAGGAAAATCCCATTAGACTGAAAATCTTAAGTCACATACACTATAGATCAAACATTATTTGTCCTTTCTAAACTATCAAATGCAACAACAAAACTATATTACAATATAGAAAATGAAATTTCAGTGTGAGAAAGCGAGATAGGTCAGGGTAATAATCAAAGCTTCACCACCATAAGATCAGTGCATTGAGCAAATTAATAAACTCTATAAAATTTGCCTAACCTTCCAAAAAAAGGTGACTTTGGTGGTACTGAAAACTGAAAAAAAGGCCTGGATGTCTGCAACATGAAGGAGCAGCACAAGATGAAATCATAGAAGAAAGCAGGAGGTACATACACACAATGCAAGTTTATCAGGTCAGAGAATTTTGTATTTTAAGTGCAATGGGGAAGTCCCTTAAGGGTTTTTTAGCAGATGAATAAATAACACAACCTTTAAGAAACCACTCTGGCACTTGTGTGGAGAATGGACTGGAGGAAGACAACAAAGGAAGCCAGAGCCTAGTTAGGAGATGATGACAGCTGCGGTGTGAGATGATGGCTAGACTAGTGTGCTGACCAAGGAAACGGAGTTCACGAACTTGGGTGTGTTCTGGAGACAGAATCAGTGGCCTTACGGACAAATCAGAGGATAAGAGGGGGGAAAAAATCAAGATGACTTCCAAGTTTCTCACAGTTAATTAGGTTAGAGTGTCTTACAAAAGACGGGAAGGACTGGCAAGAATCAGGATTCAAAGATACAGAGAAACCAGAATCACCAACTGAAGAGAAGCTGGCTTTTGTCTCTTTCTTCAAAAAGGATGGTGCTTTGAGGTATCACAGTTGTAGTTTCCTCTGAAGCTGTCTACCATTGCCATCTACTGATGCAAACTAAGGATAAAGGCTTTGGGGGTAATTTCTCTAAGGCTTCAAGTAGACTCAACACACTAAAACAGCCCAACAAGGCAGAGCACAGTGGCTCACACCTGTAAATCCCAGAACTTTGGGAGGCCAAGGCAAGAGGATCACTTGAGGCCAGGAGTTTGAGACCAGCCTAGGCAACATAGCTAGACTCTGTCTCTATTTTTTTAAAAAAATTAAACAAGAAGAAGCTGGAGAAACTGTAAGCATAAAATCAAACAGAATCTCATACACATATTTAGGTGATGTCATCTACAACCTCACCCACCACATATATTTGTGGAAAAACAATCTCCTTTCCAATGTTTCCTTCTGTAGGTAGTAGAGTACCATCATCACACCCAGTCACGTAAACTAGAAATCTTGCCAGTATCTTTGATTTACACACTCTCCTATCTATTATCAAAATCTGTTGCTTTGAGCCAGGTACAGTGGCTCACACCTGTAATTACAACACTTTGGAAGGCCAAGGCAGGAGGAGGAGGATCGCTTGAGCCCAGAAGTTCAAGACCAGCCTGGACAACAAAGCAAGACCCCATCTTTACTTTAAAAAAAAAAAAAAAAAAAGGCCGGGCATGGTGGCTCACACCTGTAAGTAATCCCAGCACTTTGGGAGGCTGAGGCGGGAGGATCACGAGGTCATCCTGGCTAACACAGTGAAACCCTGTCTCTACTAAAAATACAAAAAATTAGCTGGGAGTGTTGGTGGGCACCTGCAGTCACAGCTACTGGGGAGGCTGAGGCAGGAGAATGGCGTAAACCTGGGAGGCGAAGCTTGCAGTGGGCCGCAATCGTGCCACTGCACTCCAGCCTGGGCGACAGTTCAAGATTCCGTCTTTAAAAAAAAAAAAAAAAAAAAGCTGGGCATGGTGTCATGTGCCTGTATTACCAGCTACTCAGGAGGCTGAGGCAGGAGGACCCCCTTGAAGCCAAGGAGTTCGAGGTCGCAGTGATCACACTACTCCACTGTAGCCTGGACAAGAGAGCAAGCCCCTGTCTCCAAGTTAAAAAAAAAAAAAAAAAAAAGAGAGAGCGAGAAAGAAGGAAAAGAGGGAGGACAGAAGGAGGGGAGGGGAGGGGAGGGGAGGGGAGGGAAAGGGGGAGGAAGGAAGGAAGGACAGACGGACGGACAGACTGACGGAAGGAGCTGCTTTAGGCCGTGCGTGGTGGCTCACTCCTGTAATCCCAGCACTTTGGGAGGCTGAGGCGGGCGGACCACCTGAGGTCGGGAGTTCGAGATCAGCCTGACCAACATGGAGAAACCCCACATCTACTAAAAATACAAAATTAGCTGGGCATGATGGCGCATGCCTGTAATCCCAGCTACTTGGGAGGCTGAGGCAGGACTGCCTGAGCCCAGGAGTTTGAGAGACAAGCCTGAGCAACATGGCAAGACCCATCTCTACAAAAAAAATACAAAACTTAGCCAGGTACATGGTGGCTCATGCCTGTGATCCCAGTTTTTCAGGAGACTGAGGTGGGAGAATCACTTGAGCCCAGGAGGTCAATGCTGCAGTGAGCCGTGATGGTGCCATTGCACTCCAGCCTGGGCAACAAGAGCGAAACTCCATCTCAAAACAAAACAAAACAAATCTGCTGTTTTGTAACTAAGTCAGAGGCTCACTCTTTGAACTACTCACGATCAGAACTCTGTACCCAATGGAGATTCAGAGTTAATATTCTAGGTTGAGACCTGCCAAAAACTTTTTTAAAAAGAGTGCCCCCAGATGATTGTGATGTGCACTCCTGCTTAAGAGCCACTATTCATGAACTCAAAAATCTTTCCTTCATTATTCTTAATGTTACTGTCCTCATTATCTCTTGCCTAGACTACTAAAATAGCCTCCCTATATCTTCAGCCTTCCCCATTCTGACCTATTTTCTTCATCACCATCAGAATTCCCTAATTCAAATATTTTTTGCTATTAAAAAAAATGTGGGCCAGGCGCAGTGGGCTCACGTCTGTAATCCCAGCATTTTGGGAGGCTGAGGCAGGACTGCCTGAGCCCAGGAGTTTGAGAGACCAGCCTGGGCAACAGGGCAAGACCCATCTCTACAAAAAAATACAAAACTTAGCTAGGAGCTTGGTTGCTCATGCCTGTGATCCCAGTTATTCAGGAGGCTGAGGTGGGAGAATCACTTGAGCCCAGGAGGTCAACGCTGCAGTGAGCCGTGATGGTGCCACTGCACTCCAGCCTGGGTGACAGATTGAGACCCTGTCTTCCCCTCATCAAAAAAAGTGATAACTGGTAAATTCTGAATAAGATCTTACATACTATTGCATCAATTTCCTAATTCTGATAATCATACTGAGGTTATATAAGAGAACATCCTTGATACTATAAAACAAATGTTATTTAGGAGTTAAAGGGGCATCATGCCTGCAATATACCCTTCAACAGTTCATACAAAAATGTGTGTATACAGAGTGAAAAAATAATACATCTGTGATAGTATAACATTTGTGTCAAAACAGAAAATTTGTTTTTTTGAGATGGAGTCTGGGGCTCTGTCGCCCAGGCTGCAGTGAAATGGCACGACCTCGGCTCACTGCAACCTCTGCCTCCTGGGTTTAAGAGATTCTCCTGCCTCAGCCTCCCGAGGAGCTCGGACTACAGGTGGGAGCCACCATGCCCAGCTGATTTCTGTATTTTCAGTAGAGACAGGGTTTCACCATTTTGGCCAGGATAGTTTCGATCTCTTGACCTCATGATCTGCCCACCTCAGCCTCCCAAAGTGCTGGGATTACAGGCATGAGCCACCACGCCTGGCCAAAACAGGAAGTTTTAAAAAATCCAATAGCCAAGACATTTCATTCTGAGTTGTACTCTTCTTAACACTATACTTAAGGAAGCTGTTAAATCATTTACACACACCATTTACACACAAACACTACACAGTCCCAAATAATTGGCTTACTGGCATATATGTAACACTATCCTTTTTTTCTGGAGGAACAACAAAAATTTCTGGATGAGAGAATAGGACAAGGCAATTTCCTTTCAGAGGCCAAAGTTGTAGAGCATGGGTTAAGGAATGCAGCTCTTTCAATTCATTAAAATGAGTAAGACAATAAAGACAAAGCACACCCTTCCCAAGTCAATATAAAAGCATATTACTATGAGATAATTCACAAATAGCAACAAAGTAAATAGTATACTTAACTCAGAAGGGTATGAAAAGCCAGATAATCTGAATAACAGTATGCAATGACTCTCTAAGTGAAATAGCCAAAACAAACAACCCACCTAGACTATCCTGGTTGGTCCCAGGGGTGTTGTGATTTTGGACTGTCAGAAATATGGCTGCTGGGCACACCTGTAATCCCAGCACTTTGGGACGCTAAGGCAGGATCACTTGAGCTCAGGAGTTTGAGACTAGCCTGAGCAACATGGCAAAACTCCCTCTCTACAAAAAATATAAAAATTAGGCGAGTGTAGTGGCATGCATCTGTGGTACCAGCTATTTGGGGGGCAAAGTGGGAGGATCGCTTGAGCTTGGGAGGTGGAGGTTGCAGTGAGCTGAGATCATGCCACTGCACTCCAGCCCGGGTAACAGAGTGAGACTCCCATCTCAAAAAACAAAACAAAACAAAACAAAAAAACAGCACTAATCTACAGCAGTGAGGATACTGACCCTTGGAGGTCTGTGGAGCATTCTGGACTCACAGTGGATTCATGGACTCTTTGAAGCTATCTCTGGAATTCAGGCAGAGACTCCTGGCTCAGTGTAACACATAAGTATTTTTAAGCATACTGTTTTTTTTTTTTTTTTTTGAGATGAAGTCTCACTCTGTCATCAAGATGGAGTGCAGTGGTGCGATCTCAGCTCACTGCAACCTCCGCCTCCCAGGTTCAAGCGATTCTTCCTGCTGCAGCCTCACAAGTGGCTGGGACTACAGGCACACACCATCATGCCCGGCTAATTTTTGCATTTTTAGTAGAGATGAGGTTTCATGTTGGCCAGGGTGGTCTCAATCTCTTGACCTCGTGATCTGCCTGCCTCGGCATCCCAAAGTGCTGGGATTACAGGCGTGAGCTACCAAGCCTGGCCAAGCATAGCTTTCAGAGTCAAGAAATTACCCTTGACCATGAACTTTGGTGCCAAGAAACAAAACAGGAAAAACTGTGTCGTCATTAGCCAGTATTCTAACAAATTGTTCACTATAACTAACTGTCAAATCAACATTAGGTTTTACCTCTCTAGCACTTGTGTTCTACAATGTATTTAAACAAGTAGAATTCAAAATACCTTGTTTAAAAACAAAAACCAAAAGCCTTATCAATGACAGGAAGGGAGGTGCTAAAACATTTCAAAATAATTTTAGAGAATGTAGGATTTGTATGAATGGCAATAAAATGTGTTAATTGATACATGAAAACAATTATTTTAAATATAATTATGAGCCTTGAGAAAAGGACTACATTCAGAAATACTATCTAGAATAAAAGAAAAATGACAAACTCAACTCACCAGCAATTTCTACAATATCACCAGGAACTATGTCTTTAGCTTTAATCCGCTGCACACTCTTTCTGTCCTGTCGATACACTTTGCCCATTTCAGGCTCATATTCCTTAAGGGCTTCGATGGCATTTTCAGCATTTCTTTCCTGTATAAAAGAAAACAGAAGAGTAGTAAAGACCTGCCTGACACTGCAATTATTTCTAACCCAAGGAATAAAATGTTAGAGGTCTAATCTTTAAAAAGAAAGGAAGCCCACCAGTAACATTTGTACTAAACAATTCACATCTAAGGCAACAGACACAAGGACATTTATTAATTTGTATTAAAAACGAAACGTTAAGTACCCTCAATTAAGCTAAGGGGATAAAACAATGAGGAAAAGCAATTACAGACTCTGCTGTCCCTAAGACTGTAAAACACAGCTTTCACCTTTAGCCAAATCCCCCTGCCATTTAAAATCAATTCTGTCTCATGAGAGGCAGTACAGCTTAATAGTCTGGGCTCAGGAGGCTGAGGCAGAAGAATCGCTTGAACCCGAGAGGCGGAGGCTGCAGTGAGACGAGATCCTGCCACTGCACTCCAGCCTGGGCAACAGAAAGAGACTATGTCAAAAAAACAAAACAAAACAAAACAAAAAAAACCCCAACCCAACCCAACTCTGGGCTAAGCTGCCCAGGTTCAATACAGGCTCTTAACAGCTATGTCACTGTAGAGAGGTTACACAACACACAAGTTTACTGTCTATAAAATGACAACACTAACAGTTCCTACCTCAAGGTTTGTGAGGATAAGAAGTCATATGTAACATGCTTAGATTGTGTTTGGGCACACAGTAAATGCTATGAGTGATGAGTATCTCTCACAAATTCTAAGAACTATCCCTCCAGTTGTAAAGACCAATGAATGGCTGGACTCTCATCATAGCACTGCCAGTCCCAAGCTATATATTTCTCATGACATCATATATGAACTATCAACCGTTAGAAGTCACAGTAATTTTCTTCCCGATTTCAGAATGGAAGTTGTAGAATCAAACCAGCCTAAAGAGAATCAAATGACACAAAGATGAAAGCTGGTAACACGTGTACCTCAGTTTTGATGTATATACCCCAGAAAAAGTATAAAAAAACCTTAATTGGGAAATTCATGATAAAGTTAATTTCAATCTCATATCAGACATTCTTACCCTTCAAGATCATGTTGGGTGGAATTTAACTGGACTGCTCAAGGTTAAACAAATATCCCATGAGCACTGTATTTTGCATGTGCTTAAATTATCAGCTGAGCACAGTAGCTCATGCCTGTAATCCCAGCACTTTTGGGAGGCTGAGGTAAGAGGACTGCTTGAGCCCAAGAGTTCCAGACCAACCTGGGCTGAACATAACGAGACAGTGTCTCTACGAAAAATGCAAAAATTATCCTGACATGGTGCCATACACCTGCAGTCTCAGCTGCTCAGGAGGCTGAGGTGGGAGGATCACTAAGCCTGCGAGGCAGAGATTGGAGTGAGCTGTGATTATGACACTGCACTCCAGCCTGGGCAAGAGTGAAGCTGTCTTGGGGGAAAAAAAAGATAAATTATCTCTGACCCTGAGAACAAAGATGACAATTACAATCAATGAAAAGGCTGGGCATGGTGGCTCACACCTGTAATCCCGGCACTTTGGGAGGCTGAGGTGGGCGGATCGCCTGAGGTTGGGAGTGCGAGACCAGCCTGGCCAACATGGTGAAACTGTCTCTACTAAAAATACAAAAAATTAACCAGGCGTGGTGGTGCACGCCTGTAATCCCAGCTACTTGGGAGACTGAGGTGGGAGAATCTCTTGAGTCCGGGAGGTGGAGGCTGCAGTGGGCCAAGATCGTGCCACTGCACTCCAGCCTGGTTGACAGAGCGAGACTCCGTCTTAAAAAAAATAAAGCCCTCCTTGATGACACTGGTCAGAAATAAAAGACTATGCCCCTCATACTACCTTATACTGTCATTATAATTTTCCTTACTTTCAGAAGGCCACAACCCTCTATTGCTGCTCATACCATTCAGTATACTAAAGACTTAAGAATGTTCTTTTTTTAAAAACTCGAATCTTTTTTTTCTGAGACGAAGTCTAGCTCTGTCGCCCAGGCTCGAGTGCAGTGGCATCATCTCGGCTCACTGCAAACTCCGCCCCCTAGGTTCAAGCCCTGCCTCAGCCTCCCAAGTAGCTGGGGGCGCATGCTACCATACCCAGCTAACTTTCTGTATTTTTAGTAGCGACGGGGACTTGCCATGTTGGCCAGGCTGGTCTCGACCTCCTGACCTTAACTGATCCACCCGCCTCAGCTTCCCAAACTGCTGATACTACAGGCATGAGCTACCATGCCCTGACCAAATATAATTTTTTTGAGAAAAACATAAGAAGAAGGCCAGGCACAGTGGCTCACACTTGTAATCCCGGCACTTTGGGAGGCCGAGGCAGGCGGATCACAAGGTCAGGAGATCGAGACCATCCTGGCTAACACGGTGAAACCCCGTCTCTATTAAAAGTACAAAAAATTAGCTGGGCGTGGTGGTGGGCACCTGTAATCCCAGCTATTCGGGAGGCTGAGACAGGAGAATGGCGTGAGCCCGGGAGGCGGAGCTTGCAGTGAGCCAAGATCATGCCACTGCACTCCAGCCTGGGTGACAGAGTGAGACTCTGTCTCAAAAAAACAAAAAAAACAACAGCCAGGCATGGTGACAGTCACCTATAATCCCAGCTACTCGGGAAGCTGAGGCAGGAGAATTGTTCAAACCCACAAGACGGAGGTTGCAGTGAGCCAAAATCACACCACTGCACTCCAGCCTGGGCAACAGAGCAAGACTCCATCTAAAAAAAAAAAAAAAAAAAAAAAAATATATACACACACACACACACACACACACACACACACACACACATATATATGGCACAATTACAAATCTCTAAGTAGGCCATCTTTCTATGAACCTACCACATAAAGATCGTTAACATTTATTGGTAAAGATTAGAAGTTTACAATTTCAACAGGACTAAGTATGTTTATAAGATGTGTCGGGCGTGGTGGCTCACGCATGTAATCCTAGCACTTTGGGAGGCCAAGGCAGGGGGAATCATCTGAGGTCAGGAGTTTGAGACCAGCCTGACCAACAAAATGAAACCCCATCTCTATTAAAAGTAAGTAAGTTAGCTGGGCATGGTGGCACGTGCCTGTAATCCCAGCTACCCGGGAGGGTGAGACAGGAGAATTGCTTGATCCCGGGAAGTGGAGGTTGCAGTGAGCCAAGACTGCACCATTGCACTCCAGCCTGGGCAACAAGAGTGAAAGTCGGTCAAAACAAACAAACAAACAAACAAACAAAAAAAAAAAAAAAAAAAAAGGCCGGGAGTGGTGGCTCACACCTGTAATCCCAGCACTTTGGGAGGCCGAGGTGGGTGGATCACGAGGTCAGGGGTTTGAGACCAGCCTGATGGTGAAACCCCGTCTCTACTAAAAATACAAAAATTAGCTGGGTGTGGTGTCAGGTGCCTGTAATCCCAGCTACTCAAGGAGGCTGAGGCAGAACTGCTTGAACCTGGGAGGCGGAGGTTGCAGTGAGCCGAGATCGTGCCACTGCACTCCTGCCTGGGCGACAGAGAGTCGGTCTCAAAACAAAAACAAAAAAAAGGTCTACTTCAGTCCTCAAAGGGGTGATTATATCCGTCAAATACCTAAAAGATCAACACTTAACATGAATTTTAAGTCTCAGAGTCTGTAGTAAGCACTGAAGGGGAAACAATTTTTATAGCTAAACCTACCAAAAAAACCCAAGGAGAATAAAAATGACATGTAGCTTTTAAAGTTTGTCACAGGAAGCAACTAGGAGACATAAAGATAATGGTTCTCACATTCTCATTTCCTTAAGCAGCTTCTCTCACCCATTTTAATTCCTTGCTACCGTAAAGAATGAACAATGTTTTTCTGAGACAGTGTTGCTCCTTTGCCCAGACTGGAGTGCAGTGTTACGATCATGGCTCACTACAGTCTTGACCTCCTGGGTTCAAGCAACCCTCCCACCTCAGCCTCCTGAGTAGCTGAGACTACAGGCTGGTGCCACCACACTTGGCGAAGAATGAGCAATCTTAACTGCAAAGTTTATATGCATTAAGGTCAAAAATTTGCAATTAATTAAATTAATAGGCCGGGCATGGTGGCTCACGTCTGTAATCCCAGCACTTTGGGAGGCTGAGGAGGGCGGATCACTTGAGGTCAGGAGCTCAAGACCAGCCTGGCCAACATGGTGAAACCCTGTCTCTTACCAAAAAATACAAAAATGAGCTGGGCGTGGTGGTGCGTGCCTGTAGTCCCAGCTACTTGGGAGGCTGAGGCACGAGAACCACTTGAACCTGGGAGGAAGAGGTTGCAGTGAGCCGAGACAACACCATTGCACTCCAGCCTGGGCAACAGAGTGAGACTGTGTCAGAAAACAATTAATTTATGGAATAAAGGGAAAATACATGTAAACTTCCCGCAAACATATTTTTACTCAACACATCAGGAAAAACAGATAACAGAAAGATTAATACAGCCCTAATCACTTACATAACTTATTGAAATTTTGCAGTACAGGAATTTTTGCTTACCTGCCATACACCCACAATTGCATTGGCTACTAATATGAGTAAAATTACAAAAGGTTCTACAAAGGCTGTAATTGTTTCTTCACCTTCTTCAAACCAAGCCAAAACCTAGAAGAGAAATGGCACGTTAGAATGTGTCTTTTTAGGCTTAATGTCACTTTTTTAAAAAGTGGCTAGCACTGGCCGAGCATGGTGGCTCAGGCCTGTAATCCCAGCACTTTGGGAGGCCAAGGCAGGCGATCACCTGAGGTCAAGAGTTCCAGACCAACCTGCCCAACATGGCGAAACCCCATCTCTACTAAAAATACAAAAAATTAGCTGGACATGGTGGTAGGTGCCTGTAATCCCAGCTACTCAGGAGGCTGAGGCAAGAGAATCACTTGAACCTGGGGAGGCAAAGGTTGCAGTGAGCCGTGAGTGTACTGCATGCCATTGCACTCCAGCCTGGGCAGCAAGAGCGAAAACTCAAAAAAAAAAAAAAAAAAAAGTGGCTAGCACTAAAGGGATTATGATAGACAAAATCTATTTTCTTTCTCTAGAAATAAACGGTAGAAAATGCAATTATATAAACAACTGGCTATGTCTTGTTCATAAGAATTCTTGAAAGTCAAAACTATACTTCAGCTGGGCACAGTGGCTCACACCTGTAATCCCAACACTTTGGGAGGCTGAGGCGGGCAGATCACCTGAGGTCAGGAGTTCCAGACCAGCCTGGCCGACATGGCGAAACCCCGTCTCTACTAAAAATACAAAAAAATTACCTGGGCATGGTGATGTGTGTCAGTAATCCCACCTACTGGGGAGGCTGAGGCAAGAGAATCACTTGTACCTAGGAGGCGGAGGTGGCAGTGAGCCGAGATCGTGCCACTGCACTCCAGCCTGGGCAACAGAGCAAGACTCGGTCTCAAAACAAAAAAAAAAGCCGGGTGCGATGGCTCACGCCTGTAATTCCAGCACTTTGGGAGGCCAAGGCGGGGGGATCACCTGAGGTCTGGAGCTCGAGACCAGCCTGACCAACACGAAGAAACCCTATCTCTACTAAAATTACAAAATTAGCAGTGTGTGGTGGTGCATGCCTGTAATCCCAGCTACTCAGGAGGCTGAGGCAGGAGAATCGCTTGAACCCGGGAGGCAGAGGTTGCGGTGAGCCAAGATCGCACCATTGCACTCCAGCCTGGGCAACAAAAGCAAAACTCAAAAAACAAACAAAAAACTATACTTCATGGCTGGGTGTGGTGGTTCAAGTCTGTAATCCCAGCACTTTGGGAGGCCGAGACAGGTAGATCGCCTGAGGTCAGGAATTCGAGACCACCCTGGCCAACAAGGTGAAACCACCTCTACTAGAAACACAAAAAATTAGCCAGGTGTGGTGGCGCACACCTGCAGTCCTAGCTAGTTGGGAAGCTGAGGCAGGAGAATCGCTTGAACCTGGGAGGCAAAGGTTGCAGTGAGCTGAGATCGCACCACTGCACACCAGCCTGGGCGTTAGAGCAAGACTCAGTCTCAAAAAAACAACTATACTTCTTAAAAATACCTTATCTTTTGATGTAATAATTCCATTTTAGAATCCAAATAAAATCTGGGGAGAGGGAATAAATTCCATTCATTTTATATGTATCTATTTAGAAAAAATAAAACTTCAATTCTTGATTAAAGTAAAAGGTGATCATCTAACAGTCATGTTCATTTAGTTATTATTCATATCAAGTAATATCCATGTGACATAAATCCACAGTATAAACAACTTGATCACTGACTTAAATTTTAGAGCATATATAAACTGTTTAATTCTAGGCCGGGAACAGTGGCTCATGCCTATAATCCCGGCACTTTGGGAGGCCAAGGCAGGAGGATCATTTCATGCCAGGAGCTTGAGACCAGCCTGGGCAACATAGCGAGACCCTCATCTCTATAAAAGAAACAAAAAACCAGTTAATTCCCCGTTTCTTTTCAGTGGTACTACTGAAGGCTGTTTCAGAACCGCAAAGCTGTTGGGAGATCCGAAGTGTATTTTGTAGGTTATCCTCCATATGACATTTATACAGCAACACAGCACTTCAGAGATAACCTAAGTCCAAAAATGTAACTGGTCACAGAACACTGCCCCAAGAAAATGGGGCAGAGGTTTAAACTTTTAGCTCATACAACTATAAACTTGTTAAGATTTAAAAACTACAAAGTAAGAGTCACACTGCACTTCCCAATCCAACAACTATAAACGTGGTAAAAAGAGAGAACTCACCACAATGAATACTAAGAATAATGAATATGGTAAAGAGTGGTCTATGTGGTTAAAAATTTAAAAACCTCTTTTTGTGGAAACTTACCAATCCAGAAACAGTGTTAACCACATCTAATGATTTAATCTTGGAGGTCGAATTTTTTTTAATTAAAAAATTGCTTAAAATGTTTGCATATTTCATAATAAAATCTTCTTTAAAAGATCTACTTAGTAAATCATGAAAACACTCCTCCAAATGATTTATGGCAATAATGAATCCAAATGACTCATTAGAAGACGGCATGAATAAGAAATATCTGTTTGAGCAGGACAAAAAGAAAAATAAAAACAGGAGGCACCAGGACCACCAAGTCCTGACAGATGCCAATCACCACCAACGTCCAGTGAGCTAGGGCAAACAGACAACCAGAATGAGTATAATAAATGTTACTGTATGCTTTCAACAGGGCATTCTAGTGTTAAGGCCAGGAATAATGCCAGAATGAAAACTTCTCTAGGAAGTTATAAATTTTGATAGATGCAGGATCACAGCTGCTCTGATACTAGACTTTCAAACATTTGCCAAGGAGAGCATATCAGAAACAAGAAACTTTAATTAGCTCTTGGGGGAGAAAAATCGCTCAACTTGAAGAGTAACTATGACCTTTCCAAAAGGTCAGTGAGGCATTAGCAACTGTAAGATAAGCTTCACACCTTGTTAAAGTGGGTATGAATTTCCCTCTTGGCAGTAAAGCCTGGGGAACAAACTTAAAGCAACATCCCCTGATAGCTAGAGCAAAGGGAAAGACAATGGCAAGCAGTGATGGGACCATCAGAGCAAACCTCTACTTTAAAATACTACAGCCCAAAATGAAGAACAACCATATCAGATCATGTCGGGCAGTCCTTCACAGTTCTGATCTATTGGTAAGAAAACCTCTTGCCTTGTGTAAGGAGAAAGAGGATTGACAACAGAAACCATGAGACTGGGAGGGAGATGGGGTAAGAGAAAGGGGAGGAAAACTGGATGAGTGACATTACTGAAACGCAAGATCCCTTACTGCAGTATTATAGTACTATAGTAATGTGAGTTCATAATTATGGTTTGCCAGAAGTTATACAAAGTATACTTATACAAGGAACTGGGAAAATGTTTCTAAAAATTTTGACAACAGGTTGAATATAAAGAATTATCTGTTTCAAGCCAGGAGCAGTGGCTCACACCTGTAATCACAGCACTTTGGGAGGCTGAGGTGGGCAGATCACCTGAGGTCAGGAGTTCAAGACCAGCCTGACCAACATGGCGAAAACCCATCTCTACTAAAATACAAAAAATTAGCCGAGTGTGGTGGTGGACGCCTGTAATCCCAGCTACTGGGGAAGCTGAGACAGGAGAATCGCTTGACCCCGGGAGGCAGAGGTTACAGCGAGCCGAGATCGCGCCATTGCACTCCAGCCTGGCTGACAAGAGCAAAACTCCATCTCAAGGAAAAAAAAAAAAAGAATTATCTGTTTCAGCTGGGTGAGGTGGCTCATGCCTATAATCCTAATGCTTTGGGAAAATCTCTTAAGGCCAGGAATTGGAGACTAGCTTGAGTAACATAGTGAGACCCTATGTGTATAAAAAAAAATTTTTTTTTAATTAGTTGGGCATGGCAGGGCATGCCTGTAGTCCTGACTACTCGGGAAGATTGCTTGAAACCAGGAGTTTGAGGTTATAATGAGCTATGATCGTGCCACTACTACATTCCAGCCTAGGTGACAGAGTGAGACTCTGCCTCAAAAAAAAAAAAAAAAAAAAAAAAGGGCAAAGCATGATGGCTCACACCTATAGTCCCAGCTACTTGGGAGGCTCAAGAATCAGGCTTCAGCCCAGGTGTCTGAGGCTGCAGTGAGCTATAATCGCACCACTGCATTTACCCGCTGGGCGACAGGAGACCCTATCTCCAGGAAAATTGAAAATTTTAAACAGTGTGTAAAAGGATTATCTGGGCTGGGTGAGGTGGCTCATGTCTGTAATCCCAGCACTTTGGGAAGCTGAGGCAGGCGGATCACCTAAGGCCAGGAGCTGGAGACCAGCCTGGTCAACATGGAGAAACCCCGTCTCTACTAAAAATACAAAAAATTACCCGGGCGTGGTGGTGCATGCCTGTAATCCCAGCTACTCGGGAGGCTGAGGCAGGAGAATCACTTGAAGCTGGGAGGTGGAGGTTGCAGTGAGCCAAGATCGCACCACTGCACTCCAATCTGGGCGACAGAGCAGGACTCCGTCTCAAAAAAAAGACAGCGAAAAGGTAACAAGCTTCATGAACAGCAGCAAAGAAAAGTAAAAGAGAAGACCACTGCCCCATAGTTTTGGACATAAACAGTGTTTCTTCTTCCCTTTGCTTTGTGCTAAATACAATAATACCTGTCTTCTGGGACATACATTATCAAACAAGTTCAATGCTTCAAATGTGCCAGTATTATTCAAAGTAACCACTTGCTAATGAACACTCAACTACATTAAACTGTTAAAAATAGAGTAGGGATAGAGTATCTCCCAATTATTATCCACAAGATTAATCTCTGTACAGCACTGAAATACTGTACAACACTCTGTACTGCATTATACTTCTGATAAGTATACTAAAGCAAAAAAAAAATTTTTTTTTGAGACGGAGTCTCACTTTGTCACTCAGGCTGGAGTGCAGTGGCGCAATCTCGGCTCACTGCAACATCCGCCTCCCGGGTTCAAGCGATTCTCCTGCCTCAGCCTCCTGAGTAGCTGGGATTACAGGGACCCACCACCACGCCTGGCTAATTTTTGTATTTTTAGTACAGGTGGGGTTTCACCATGTTGGCCAGGCTGGTCTCGAACTCCTGACCTCAAATGATCCACCCACCTCGGCCTCTCAAAGTGCTGGGATTACAGGCATGAGCCACTCACTGCACCCGGCCAAATAAAGCAAATTTTAATCCAAGGTAAAAAGCACGTTCTGCTGTAAACTGGGAGACAGTCATGATATTGTGACTCAGATATCTATACACTGTGATAATAGGAAGAGCTCTTAGTATCATAAAAAGAAAACGAAAGAAAAAAGTGCTTAAAAAGATCATAAGCACATTTTGCTCCTAGTATTCTCAGAAACTTGCACTGTGCCTTTGGGCCCTCAAACAATTGCTCAATAAATGAAGAAATTTACATCAAGTTTTTTTTTTTTTTTAAATAAAGAGGAAATGGAAATTAAACATTTCGAGAATGATACAGAGAATTACCAATAAACGTTACGATAATTTCTGGGGGAGGACTTTCAGTCATTAATAAAACGGAAAAAAAAGCATGAATTAGAACTCGTTCCCTTCTGATCCAGATATAAAGCTATGTAAAAACATTCAATGCTTTCAGGCATGAGAAAACAATCTTTTTAAAAAGTACTCTATTAAATCCACCTTTCAAGTCATTATTTTAAGAAAAGCTCTGAATAAACTAGTTAAACCAATCAGTAATTTGCCCTTCTTATCCCATTTTTAAAATCAAAAATTAAAAGATACAGAAGAAAATTAAAATCACTACAAATCCAGTATCAAATGCTTTGAGTATTCTCTTCTGAGAAACTACAGTAAAAAGATCTCATGTATTTTCAGAAAATTCTACTGAAACAAACTCACCCAAGTTTTTGTGACATCAAAAGCACTAACTTAGGCCAGGCGCAGTGGTTCATGCCTGTAATCCCAGCACTTTGGGAGGCTGAGGCAGGTGATAACCTGAGGTCAGGAGTTCGAGACCAGCCTGGCCAACAAAGGTAAACCCCATCTCTACTAAAAATACAAAAATTAGCCGGGCGTGGTGGTGGACATCTGTAATCCCAGCTACTCAGGAGGCTGAGGCAGGAGAATCACTTGAACCCAGGAGGTGGAGGTTGCAGTGAGCCGAGATTGCACCACTGCGCTCCAGCCCGGGCAACAAGAGTGAGACTCCATCTACATTTAAAAAAAAAAAAAAAAAAAAGCACTAACTCAAGGGGGTCTAGTAGGAAGAAAAGAGACACACACATGCAAATGGTCAAATGTAACCTAAAGGTTGAGAAGTACCACAGTCTAGAAAGTTTTATTAGCATTTTAGGGTCAATCTAAGTAGCTGACATGGGAAACGACGGTGGAAGGTAGAGAAACCTATGCAAATTATTACCATATTAATTATGACTTTATGATTTAGACAGATGGGAGACCAACATGGCCCTAATGCCCACCTCCTTCAGATCTTTTCGCAAATGTCACCTTCCTCAAGAACTTTCCGGACCACCCAATTTGAAAACTGTTCCCCCTTTCACATACTCTGATATCCAAACCCCCTTGCTTTATTTTTCTCAGCAGTATTATCCTCCAGGTAAGGGTCTCTGTCTGTTTTATTCACTACTGTATCCCCAGTGTCTGTGACAGGTGCTCAATAAATATCTTAACAAAGCAGGAAAAGAGAAGAAAGGGCAGGCATCAGTTAAGCAACCATACGATGTGTTACATTTAGAACAAAGTTGGTAATCAAGAAGAGAATGAAAAGATAAAGTGAATGATAGAGGGGGGGTCTTCAGTGTCAAATTAAGCAATTTCTAATGTTCATATGCACTGGAAGATGAAGCTTATTTCTTTCAATCCAAGTGACCGTTTCAAAAAAACACTTTGGCCAATATTACAAATTAAACTAGATCCCTACAGGTCACAAGCATAGCTTCCTATTCTATGCCACAGCAAAATATTAACTATAGTTAACAGTTTACTACTTAGTTTGATATTTGAAGTAAGTCACTAATATTCTTTTTAATTTAAGCATGACTTGATGACGCATGATGTATATAAGAATCGCCTAGTCACTTCTCCAAAAAAACCTGAATATTCTACCATGTTTTTTCTGTTACATCAATAGGAATAAACTGACACAAAAAGAGAGTCAGTGCTCTTTCTTTTAAAAGATACAGACAGGAGGAATGAAACACTAAAGACAATGCAGCAGCAGTACCCAACCCCACATGAAGAAAATCAACACAACAGGTCTTATATCTGCAATTCCTTGATCAAACAAACCAAAGCAAATTAATTCTATAGAAGTACTCCCTAAACACTTATTCTTTTGCTATTTACCAACTCATAAAATAAAAATGTAACACAGTTCATTTCCTGAGCAGTAACTCCACAGTTACCAAAAAGGAGCTCAAATTTCAACTCCAAAATATAGCTCTATAATGCTCCACAAAGCCAAGGTCCTATCTTATAAAAAAAATTAAAGCATTTATTTAAAAACCTGCTTGAAATGCTTACAAACTATAAGCCTCTAATTACTTCAAAGTAAAAAATGAACAAACAAAACCCACACACATCATTAATTTAAAATGCTAATATAAAGTCACTCAAACTGGCCACTCAAAAAACAGACCCAGTGCAACCCCAATAGTAACACCAGTGGCATGGTTTCCCACACTGCTTCAACTTGTAACACAGAGAATTCAGTAAAAATGTATTTTGCTTCTGGCTTGTAGTCAGCTGATTAATTTTTAAGAAGTTCCCAATGACCTTATCGGACCCCATTATTTAACTGCCAACGCTATTATGTACCCAGTTAAATACAAATCTTACACTAGCTCCAAATGTATCATTTATTTTGCCCCATGACAATGTATTGATAAACTATAGTTAATCGGGTCTACTCATTTCCCTTAATTGGTAAAACAGCAGCCATTTTCTGGGGGAAAATTTTTTAATCAATCAAGAAGAAACATTTTATCAGAGGTACATTGTGACTGACTCAGAATGCTGAATGGTTTGCTATGTAAGTCCCCATTTTAATCAATGAAAACCACAGAAAAGGTTCTTGGGGACTGAATTATTAATGGCTACACAATACTTGGCTAATATGGCATAATAAAGTATCATAGCAGGATTTATGTAAAAATTATTCCACAAATTTATTTACTGCTGCCACTATCTACTTAAAAGATGGGTATAAATTTAATCTTTTCCTCATCTGAACTAAATAAATGCCCACTGCTTTGTTTATTTCGTTCTCAAAATAGCCCTCTATGGTATGGTTCTCACAAAGACTGAGGCTGATCCCTGGGACCTGCATACATATATGTACAAGAACTGAAACCGTGAAGTTTTGTCAATTTTGTTTTAACTAGAAAGAAGTACTGCACTGGGTGAATTTCACTTATCGTGGTTTTTGTAAGAATAACGTAATTCAAGAATAAAAGGCATCTCATGCTATTAGAATTAGGAACATCTGTGTCCTATTCCTGACCATTTTTAGGAAAACTAGCAAGCAATCTACTGCCCAAGAAAAAAAATGCAACAAAAAATTAATACCGAACATTTAAAAAAAAGTTAAAAACCTAGAAATATACTTGCCACCCCAACACCCTTTTTCTGCTGTAGTTCTTTGCATTTCACTAGTTTCTTAGCAACCATATAGCACTCAAGTGGGTAAGCACACACAGAACAAGAAAAAACACCATGCTGGTTTTTTTCCTTTAAGATCTAGAACCAACTGTACTAAACCTTGTTCTTTCAACCTAAGAATCACTTAAGACAGGGGTCCAATTTAGATAAATATACCACCCTAAAGGTCAGTGACCAAATTTGGTCAACAAGGGTGCCATCACAGCCGTCATCATTCTTGTCACCGTCAGGAACAACTGTCACCTTGCCATTACCAGGAAGGGAAAGCAACTGGAATATTCCTTTTGTAAGTTCTATTTACAGACTACAAAGAGTCCAACATCATCTTAGTATGATCTTACAACACGATAACAATGGAAGAACCCAAAACATTAAAGGCTTCCCAGAAAAGAACTTTTTGATATTAAAAGCTGATAAACCACAAGAATTTCTAAGACCATGCCACACTCTGGGACAACTCCTAACCACACTGTAAATGTCAGGCATCTATTTTCTGAATACCAATGGCTTCAAGTGTTTTGTTTTGTAATTTTAAAATGCCCAGATTGTTTTTAAACATAGAGACACAGCTTGCAACTCCAAATATGTTTTCACCCAATGGACATCATTTGTTTTCTGATTTATCTATGGAATACTTTCAGCTTTTGGGGGGAAAGAAAATAAATTTTTTTATACTTACAAAAGATATACATGCTGCCAGTAATAAAATCCTAACTAGCAAGTCTTCAAACTGCTCAATCACAAGTTCCAGCAAGGTTTTTCCTGTAAGAAACAAACACATGTGTTTTAACTGTCATCTTACCATCAGCACACCAACAGAGGAAAAAAAACAGAAACAGCATGTTAAGATTACCTTCTTCAGCCGGTAACTCTGTAGAATGTAGAAATTCGTCAAGCAATGTGTCAAGAGGGAGGTTAAAAAAAAAAAGAGAGAGACATTTTAGCACTTCGTTTTTCTAAAAAGAACTGCTACAATTCTAAGCATCAATATCTTTAAAACACAGACCTAGCTATAAGAATATCCGATTTTTTTAGCAGAGGGCATACCACGAAGATATCTCAAGGAAGCATGCACTCTTTGTAATCAATGGCCTGAGGTCTAGCCCTAAGCGTGAAATCACTTCGGGCTCCTGAACCTAGGAGTGGTTTCAGCGATGTCATCACTTCTGCCAGATGTGTAACTTTGGGTAGGACAAGAACGGTCAGAGGCCTTCCAACGACCTCGACTCCTCATAAATCGGCAGGGGACGAGAAAACGTCTTGCCGGGCTCAACCTAGCTGCAGAAGCCACGTCCCTCCCTCCACCGGGGCCGGCTGCTGCTGGAGAGAAGCCTCCGAGCCTTGCGCGCCGAAAAGGTCGAGGGCCCGAGAAGCGAAGAGGTCCAGGGAAGGCGAGGCGAGGACCGCAGCCCCTTTCTCTCCCGCGGGGCCGGCGCGCTGGCCCGACCCTCCGCCCGCAGCTGTCGGCGGGCGCGGAGCCGAAGCCCACGAGGTGGAGCCCGGTCAGCCATCTTCCCTGGCTCTCCCGGCCGCGCCGGGCCCCTGCAGCGGAGCGCCCTGCACCTACCGTTGGAGCCCCATCTCTCCTTAAGCTTCTTGACCTGTTCCAGGCTCAGCCCCGTACTCTCGTTGACGCCGAAGTGGCCCAGCACCTCCTCCACCGTCTTGGTGTGCGCGTTCTCCATGGCTTCGGGGGCCCGGCCGGCCTCGCCTCCCGTCCCCGCGGCCTCCTCGCCTCCGCCTCGCACTCCGGCCGCGGGCTCGTGCCACCCCGGGAGCCCAGGCGCGGACGGGCTCTCCCCTCCTCCTCTTGCGGCCGCTTCCGCCTCGCCGGGCGCTGAATCACCCCGCGCCCCCTCCCCCAGACAACCGCCCCTCGCGCGGCCCCGAGCTCCGCAGGGCGGGTTGGGGGCTCCTGACCCACCCTCCCTCCCCTCGCCAGAAGGGAGGGCCTCCCTCGCCCTCAGCCGCCCGCCGGGAGGGCAGGCCGCGGCCCCCGAGCCCCCTCCCCGCTCTCTTGAGGCGATCAGAGGCCCCGCCCGGGCCGGAGGAGGGGGCGCCCGGCAGACCACTGAGGGCGGAACGCGGCGAGGGAGGCGAGCCGGCGGGGCGGTGCGCGGCGCGCTCGCCCGGGTCCCTCAGCGCCGCACGCCCGACAGCGGCGGAGGAAACTGCGGCGAAGGAAAAGGAGGTGGCGTCGGGGACGGCTCCGCGGCGGCTGCTCTAATAGCATTTATCGGCCGCTGCCTCCCCTTTCGCCGCCGCCGCGGCATGTGGACGCCGCTCATTGGCCGAGAGCGCCCAGCGCGGCGCGGGCGGCGCGGCCCCGCCCCCTCCTCCCGGCTCCCTCCTCCCGCGCGCCTGGCGCCCACGCTGCCGCGCAGGCCCCGCCCCCTCCCGCGCGCCGCCCCTAGGAACCCGGATCGAGGCCGCGCGCGCCGCGGTCGCGGGGCTGGCGGAGGGGAAGCTGGGTACCCTCTTCTGTGCCTGCGGTTCTCTGACCCACCCACCTGCAGACGCAGGGTGGGGCGCTCACAGTGGGCACGCTGCTCTGGGGCCGGTGGGCGGATGGTTGGAAGGCGAGGCCGAGGAGCTGGGAGCGCGGTCCACGCGGGGCGTCTCGAGGCGCCCTCGGGCTGATGTCCTTGGCTCGCCTCCTCGCCCTCGGTCGCCCGGGCTGCGCTCTGCATCCTAATCTGGCTCCTTCAGAGCCCCCCTCAGAAACCAAGGGGAGGAATTCCGCAGTTCACTTCCCACACAACCCAAATCCTTCATCTGTCGCCTCGGGAACACCGCATCCTACACCCCCTGCCGCCAGCTCCTTCGCACGCCAGCCCCGATTCTTCCCCAGCGGGTTCTGGGCCCTGACGAGGGAACCCCCCTCGCGGGGGGGAGGGAGAAGAGTTGATTTTATTATTAATAGCTGACGCAGCGCTTGATAGGTGTCTGCAGGGCAGTCACAGTTCACGCCGCTGGAGCTGCCACACAGCAGCTAGACTTGGGCTAGGAGGTGCTTCGCTGTGGCTTTCAGATGAAGGCCATTTCATAGACTCACTTCCCTCGACAGGAGAAAAGGGGACTTGAATCCAAAGCTGCTCTTAAACCACAGATGATTTGCTCTGCTCGGGAGGACAAAGCGCAGGTCACAGCAAGATAAAGGGAATTTTGCCAATATAAAGAAGCTACATTACTTAACAAGGGGATGGGAAATTGCATGGAATTCATGAACAAAACATGAACATATTCTCTTCACAAAGAAGAGCAGCTTTCTTCACGGAGTAGGTTGCAGAATGAAGCAATTAGTCCACTTTTGTGTTTAACAATAACGCACCATCCGCATGAGCAAAAGCAGAGCAGAAAAATCACCTCAGTTGTCTCAAGTGGCTGGGCTTCAGGACTTAAGATAAATTCCTTCAGCAGATGCAAATTACAGTGCATCACCAGCTGAAAAAATCAGGCACGTCATGTCATTTAATTATTTCCAAGGAGTGGACGTTGGCATGTAGTTTTGATTGATACTTGGAAAAGAACCAACAAAACCCTACACGAAACAAACAAACAAAAAATTATACTATATGGCAACGCACTGAGAGAAGCCAGGTGGAAACTGGTTAGGTCACAGGATCAGAGCCGCTTCAAGAGGGGCACGTGAGTGCACGGTGGGAGTGTGGTCATGGAGGGCTGGCTGTTGTTGCCCTCTGAGACCAGCTCTGCACCATTTCGTACCAATTCTTCTCCCTTACCTCCTCTGTCTCTTTCAGGACCGATAGAAGCACTGCAGGCAGGAGAAGGATGGTTTACCTTTCTCAGCCTGGAAATTAGCTTAGGCATTTGATGTTGAATATTCTGTGCCACTGTCACTGCTTGGGGTTGTAAGCACCTCTGGTGCAATTATGAGCTTCTGGAGGAGTTCCTGACCTCAGCCTTTGTATGGAATGCTCTTCCCACAGATCTTCTTCACTTGTGTCGTTCTCTTTCCATTCAGATCGCAGCTTACATGTCCCCTCCTCAGAGATGTCTTTGCTGTCTAAAGTGGCTACCCAGCCACAGTGGCTCACGTCTGTAATCCCAGCATTTTGGGAGGCTGAGGCAGGAGGATCCCTTGAGCCCAGGAGTTTGAGACCAGCCTGGGCAATATAGCGAGACTCCATCTCTACTAAAAAAAAAAAAGAAAAAAATTAGCTGGGCGTGGTGGCCTGAACCTTTAGTCCCAGCTACTCAGGAGGCTAAAGAGAGAGGATCGCTTGAACCCAGGAGGTCAAGACTGCAGTGATCTGTGATCACGCCACTGCACTCCAGCCTGAGCAACAACAGAGTGAGACCTTGTCTCAAAAAAAAAATTAAATAATAAATAAATTAAAAAGTGGCTACTCTCGGCAATTCACCTTCCATCACATTTTTCAGTTTTCTTTTCTTCTTTTTTTTCCTTTGAGACAGAGTCTCTCTCTGTCACCCAGGCTGGAGGACAGCAGCACAATCCCAGCTCACCACAACCTCGGCCTCCTGGGTTCAAGCAGTTCTTGTGCCTCCGCCTCCCAAGTAGCTGGGACTACAGGTGCACGCCACCATGCCTGCCTCATTTTTGTATTTTTAGTAGAGATGGGGTTTCACCATGTTGGCCAGGCTGGCTTCGAACTGACCTCAGGTAATCTGCCTGCCTCGGCCTCCCAAAGTGCTGGGATTACAGGCATGAGCCACCGTGCCCGGTCAGTTTTCTTCACAGTGCTTACTTGTGATGTTGTATTTTGGTTTAGCTGTTAACTGCTTGTCTCCTAGTGTCTCATGGAGCTCTAGGACAGAAGCTCCATAAGAACAGGGCCTGTCCATCTTGTCCATCCTCAGTACAAAGAACAGTCCCTAGTCTATGCTCCTCATTTATTAAATGCCTGCTGTTTGAATGAATGAATTAGTCCCACCATCCCTAGCCCATAAGTGACTTGCAAAGGGCCTCCCCCATAGGAAGGCCTCAGCAAATTTTCAGTGAACTCAAGTTCATTGATTTCCAATTTGTGAAATAAACTAGAGGGCCTCTCTGAACTACCTGCCTCATGAGAATGACTGTGAAGTGTAGTCAGTTTAAAACAAACAGACAAAAACAAAGCTAGACAGCATTACAGGTTTCTCAGAAAGAAGGAAGGTTCAAGTTCACATTGGTACTGTTACCACGTTGCCATTGCCCTCCTAGACTGTTCTCTGCAAGCTTTCTATTTACTGGAGGCTGGAATACTCTCTTAAGCTGAAACAGTGTGATTTTAAGCCCAGAATTGGCCCCCTTAGACATCATCATAACAATTATGCTCTTGGTTCCTCAACCTGCTGGTGTCTCTGAAAGCTGTTGTTGATGGGTTGCCAAAATTTATCAGAAACGCAGTCTCCCAAAGGCAGAAATATCTAGTTTCTCTCATGTAGAAATAAACTTGTGCTTAATTTATTTTATGCATCGTGTTGTACTTGCTTCTTGTTAAGAAGGGTTTTTAAAAGTAAGAATAGGTTTTAGAAATACTCTATTTTTCAGCAAGGATTGCAGGTACATTCAATCAATTGAGGACAGGGAGAGAAAACAGAAACTGTGATTCAGAAAGATGGATGATTTGATTAAAGAACTTCAAAGGCATTAATAAAGGAGGACATTAGCTGCTAAAAGGCAAGCTGGTTTAAAAAGCAAGTTAGACAGAAATGGACAGTGGAAATAAGTGACTTGTAAAAGAGGCCCCAGCCAACTTCCCAATGCTCTACAGCTCCTTGTAAAGCAGTGGAGATTGTAAAAGGCAGTCCATTCTGTATTTGGACAGCTCTAATCATTAAAGCAGTCTCATTCTAGGCTGGATCCACCTCCCATTGGCTAACTTCATCTATACATTGGATCTTGTTTAGCTCTCTGGAACCATTCCAAATGAATTTCATCCCTCTTTGGTGTGAGATCCCTTTGAGTATTTCAAGCTATCTACTGTGTTAAAAAGTCTCTTCTCAGCCGGGCACGGCGGCTCACGCCTGTAATCCCAGCACTTTGGGAGGACAAGGCGGGCAGATCACAAGGTCAGGAGTTCGAGACCAGCCTGGCCAACATGGTGAAACCCCATCTCTACTAAAAAAAAAAAATACAAAAATTAGCCAGGCATGGTGGCATGCACCTGTAATCCCAGCTACTCTGGAGGCTGAGGCGGAAGAATTGCTTGAACCCGGGAGGCAGGGGTTGCAGTGAGCCGAGATTGTGCCATTGCACTCTGGCCTGGGTGACAAAGCAAGACTCCATCTAGGGAAAAAAAAAAGTCTCTTCCCGGCTTCTTCCTAGATCATGAGTTTGTAATCCCTCAGCAACTTTGTCATCCAGTCCTAGAGGTACCCAGTACTGAATACAAAAGTCTGGGCATGGGGCCAGGTGAGGTGGCTCACACCTATAATCCCAACACTTTGGGGGGCCAAGCGGGTGGACCACATGAGGTCAGGAGTTTGAGACCAGCCTGGCCAACATGGTGAAGCCCCGTCTCTGCTAAAAATACAAAAATTAGTTGGGTGTGGTGGCATGCTCCTGTAATAGCAACTGCACTCCAGCCTGGGCGACAGAGCAAGACTCCATCTCAAAAAAAAAAAAAAAAAAAAGTCTGGGCATGGTCTTGCAGAGGAGTTGTCATGCCCACCTTTGTGCTGGATCTTTTCCGCTGCACACTGTAGATTTGTGCTAACAGTCAACTCAAAAGAGAGTCCTTTCTATATAAACTACAGTCGGTATATCTCATTGTGCACTTGCACTGTTGATAGTTTTTAACCCAGGCACTGAACTTCTGTGTATACTTGAATGTTCTCATGCTCTAGACCCATGTTTAGGGTCTGTTCTAGTCTTTTGAGATCTTCATTTTCAAATACTTTAGCTATATGTCCCAGCTTCAGGTTACATACAAATTTGATAAGCATGACTTCTATGTCTCTATCCAGTAGAACTTCTAGACACTCATTCCAGATTGAAAATAACCAATCAAATGTATTTAATTGTTCAACTATTATAAAAATCAACTTGACTACAGTGTCCAAAATCAGTAAAGTGAAAATCTTATAAGGCACTCCCTGCCTCCTTATCTTCTATAATACTTTATTACACAGTGTTGAAACAGATCATTTTTCTTTTGGTTGAGTGCCTGATGTAGTCAGCTTGATCTAAGGGTCATGTTATATGAAAACATCCATTTATGTACCAAAATCAGAACTGGCACAGTCAGATGCTTTCACTGAGACACCAATGAGAACTAAGGCCGTTCAACCAAGTCACATCTGTCATCTCTTATTCTGGGGCACATACTTGTTGAGTAGAATGATGAGAATTGCCTGCATTATTTAAGTTGTCATATAAAGTCACTTAAGATGATTAGGCAGACATTAGTCTACCACCCGCCTTTCTCTACTTTGTCCATAAGAAGTTAATGAGAGGACTGGCCAGGCGTGGTGGCTTATGCCTGTAATCCCAGCACATTGGGAGGCCACGGCGGGTGGATCACCTGAGGTCAGGAGTTCAAAACCAGCCTGGCCAACATGGTGAAACCCCATCTCTACTAAAAATACAAAAATTAGGCAGGCATGGTGGCAGGTGCCTGTAATCCCAGCTACTCAAGAGGCAGAGGCAGGGAGAATGGCTTGAACCCAGGAGGTGGAGGTTGCAGTGAGCCAAGATTGTGACACTGCACCCCAACCTGGGCGACAGAGTGAGACTACGTCTCAAAAAAAAAAAAAATGGCTGGGCGCAGTGGTTCACGCCTGTAATCCCAGCACTGTGGGAGGCCAAGGCAGGCAGAGCATGAGGTCAAGAGTTCGAGACCAGCCTGACCAACATGGTGAAACCCCGTCTCTACTAAAAATACAAAAATTAGCCAGGCATGATGGCGCGCGCCTATAATCCCAGCTACTGGGGAGGCTGGGGCAGGAGAATCGCTTGAATCCGGGAGGCAGAGGTTGCAGTGAGCCGAGATCGCACCACTGCACTCCAGCCTAGGTGACAGGGCGAGACTCCATCTCAAAAAAAAAGAGGAAGATTCAGAGACATTGTCCGTAACAGGCTCCAAATCCACACTCTAGTGCTCTTTTCACAGAAATGCATCCACTTTGGCATGGCTTGTGTTACTGAACACACACCAGCACCTAGTGACCACCACTTTTTCTACATGCCCATGAACTATAACTTCAATATCTGAGAATTTGTCAAACTTAACACAATGTCTTTTCCAGAATCTGCCTTCCCTGTACACCGCACGATTATAAGCATTCTTTAGACGGCCGAGGGTTAAAAATCCAACTCACTATTTTATGCTTATAAAAAAGGGACTTATAGGGAATAGACTCCAAATTTAGAACAGCTTGATCCAGGTGCTCAAAGTCACTGAGAATCTCTCTCCACCTCTTAGCTCTGCCTCTTTCCTTTTTTATTTATTTATTTATTTTGAGTTTCCCTCTTGTTGCCCAAGCTGGAGTGCAATGGCACGATCTCAGCTCACTGCAACCTCCGCCTCCGGGGTTCAAGTGACTCTCCTGCCTCAGCATTCCAAGTAGCTGGGATTACAGGTGTGCACCACTACACCCAGCTAATTTTTTTTATTTTTAGTAGAAATGGGGTTTCACCATGTTAGCCACGCTGGTCTTGAACTCCTGACTTCAAGTGATCCACCCACCTCGGCCTCCAAAAGTGCTGGGATTACAGGCATGAGCCACTGCGCCTGGCCTCCTTTTGGTTTTTGTTTTGTTTTGTTTTGTTGTTTTTTTTGTTTTGTTTTGTTTTGAGACAGAGTCTTGCTCTGTCGCCCAGGTTGGAGTGCAGTGGCGCGATCTCGGCTTATGCAACCTCCACCTCCTGGGTTCAAGCGATTCTCCTGCCTCAGCCTCCTGAGCAGCTGGGATTATAGGTATGCATCACCATGCCCAGCTAATTTTTGTATTTTTAGTAGAGACGGGGTTTCACCATGTTGGCCAGGCTGGTGATGAACTCCTGACCTCAGGTGACTCGCCCACCTCAGCCTCCCAAAGTGCTGGGATTACAGGTGTGAGCCACCGCGCCCAGCTTTTCCTTTGCTTTTTACTCTCAGGCAGTCTCTCTCCAGGTGGTGGCAGACATGGTTCCAGCATCTCCAGTTTCTAATTCTCCAGTTTAGTGCTTTTGGAGCACTAAGCTGGAGAGAAAGGCCTAAGATTTTCTCTGGGATTTGTGCACACCCCTGGAAGCAAAGACTATGGTCAGTGCCATCTGAACTGCACGAACTGAGAGGGAAAGAAGTAGTTCCCTACAGTGGTGGTTTTCACACGCATGCCTCAGCATCACCTGGAGGGCTTCTGAAAACACCTTTTGCTGGGGCCTACCTCCAGAATGCTCAATTCAGTAGGTCTGGGGTGGACCCAAGAATTTGCATTTCTGAGTTCCCCGGTGATGTTGATGCTGCTAGTTCAGGACACACATGCTGGAAAACAAAGCCTCAAAGGAAAATCCTGCTGCTGTTATCAGAAGAGCTGCAAATGTTAGATCTGCCAAACAACAAATGTTCACTTCACTGAGGAAAGTCAAAGATCTCACTGGTCTGGAGGAAGCAGAGGTAACTACCACAGGGCTGGGTGTGGTGGCTCACTCCTATAATCCCAGCACTTTGGGAGGCTGAGGTGGGCAGATCATTTGAGGCCAGGAGTTGAAAACCAGCTTGGTCAACATAGCAAAACCCCATCTCTACTAAAAATACAAAAATTAGTTGAGCGTGGTGGCGTGCGCCTATAATCACAGCTGCTCGGATGGCTGAGTGAGGAGAATTGCTTGAACCCGGGAGGCAGAGGTTGCAGTGAGCCGAGATTACACCACTGCACTCCAGCCTGGGTGACAGAGCGAGACACTGCCTCAAAAAAAAAAAAAAAAAGATGCAACTAGCACACAATACTGAAAACCCTGTTTGGAGATGCCCTACATTCTTCCACTGTAGTTTGCAGTGTCGTCTGCTACACATCCACCAAGACGTCTCCTCCAATTCCAAGCTCCTGACACAATGACTCATTATCCCTTCCTTGGGACCTCTCCTCAGGCTGTTCCTTCTGCTTGGATCTGCCTGGTGAACCTCTATCACCCTTCAAGATGAAGGCTCAAATTCCATCTCATCTTGGAAGTCTTGCATGATAGCAGCCTTCTCCAACACTTCCATCATCAGCGCCCCAGAAGTCTCAAATTGCACTTTGTTTGTTTTAGACAAGGTCTCACTCTGTCACCCAGGCTGGAGTGTAGTGGCACGATCTCGGCTCACTGCAACCTCCACCTCCCAAGTTCAAGTGATTCTCCCGCCTCAGCCTCCTGAGTAGCTGGGATTACAGGTGTGCACTAACATGCCTGGCTAGTTTTTGTATTTTTAGTAGAGACGGGGTTTCACCATGTTGGCCAGGCTGGTCTTGAACTTCTGACCTCAAGTGATTCGCCCACCTCAGCCTCCCAAAGTGCTGGGATTACAGGTCTGAGCCACCTGTGCCTGGCCTCAAACAGCACTTTATATCACTCGAGTATAGTAACCTGGGTTTTCCTTCCCCTTCTCTGGTTGGTCGTTTTCAACCTCCTTTTCTGTGCCTCCCCCTCTTCTACTTAACTTTATTCTTTTTCTTTTTGAGACGGGGTCTCGCTCTTTTGCCCTAGAGTACAGTGGCACCATCATGGCTCACTGCAATCTCAACCTCTCAGGATCAAGCGATCCTCCCACCTCAGCCTCCCGAGTAGCTGGGACTACAGGCATGTGCCACCATACCCTGCTAAATTGTTTTATTTTTTGTAGAGATGGGGGGTCTTGCCATGTTGCCCAGACTGGTCTTGAACTCCTCCTGGGCTTAAGCGATCTTCCCACCTCGGCCTCCCAAAGTGCTGGGATTATAGATGTGAGCCACTGTGTCCAGACTCTTCTACTTAACTTTAAACCTGGAGTGTCCCAGGGCTTAGGACCCGGCAGTCTTCCTATCTGTAATCTTTCCTTAGTCCCACTGCTTTAAACTCCACCTACATAATGGGTTTGTTTGTTTGTTTTTTTGTTTGAGACAGGGTCTCACTCTGTCACCCAGGCTGGAGTGCAGTGGCGCGATCTCGGCTCACTGCAACCTCACCTCCTGTGTTCAAGCTATTCTCCTGCCTCAGCCTCACAAGTAGCTGGGATTACAGGCATGCTCCACCACGCCTGACTAAATTTTGTATTTTTTGGTAGAGACGGGATTTCACTGTGTTGGCCAGGCTGGTCTTGAACGCATGACCTCAAATGATCCACCTGCCTCGGCCTCCCAAAGTGCTGTGATTACAAGCGTGAGCCACCGTGCCGGCCCACCTACATATTGTTGACTACACATTTGTATGTCCAGATGCATATACTCAGCTGCTGATCTGACATCTCCACTTGACTGGGTCATGGACTCGCATTTGAGAGTGACAGAAGGAGGGCCAGGAATAATACAGAGTCCTTTGAAAATTTAGAGCCAAGAAGAGCAGCATCTTGGGCAGAAGGAATAGCAAATGGGCAAATGCACATATGAGTAATACTCCTTCCTTCATGGCACTTAATCACCCTAAGTCACTTGTTTATTGTCTGTCCTCTTCCACCAGACTATAAACTCCAGGAGAATGGAAATTGTCAGAGGCATGTGAACCAGAGCAACTCCATCTTGAATAGGAGCTGGGTAAAATGAGGCTGAGACCTACTGGGCTGCATTCCCAGATGGCTAAGACATTCTAGGTCACAGGATGAGATAGGAGATTGGCACAAGCTACAGGTCATAAAGACCTTGCTGATAAAACAGGTTGCAGTAAAGAAGTGGCCAAAACCCACCAAATCTAGGATGGCGATGAGAGTGACCTCTGGTCGTCCTCGCTGCTATACTCCCACCAGCGCCACGACAGTTTACAAATGCCATGACGTCAGGAAGTTACCCCATATGGTCTAAAAAGGAGAGGCATGAATAATCCACCCCTTGTTTAGCATATCATCAAGAAATAACCATAAAAATGGGCAATCAGCAGCCCTCAGGGCTGCTCTGTCTATGGAGCAGCCATTCTTTTATTCCTTTACTTTCCTAATAAAGTTGCTTTCACTTTACTCTGTGGACTCGACCTGAATTCTATTACTCTTTTGGGGTCTGGATTGGGACCCTTTCCTGTAATAGAATCATATGCACTTAGAAGGCATGCAATCAAAACTTCTTGAATAAATGCATGATAATTATTTGCAATGAGGACCTTGAGTCCTTCCTTATCTATTTTGTGCCCCCAGCGACCAGTGTAGTGCCAGGCACATAGCAGATGCTCAGTGAATATCTACCAAATTAATTAGTGAAGACCTTTGCTTCCTTTGCAATTACTGCTCTGAAGAAAAAAAAAAATCTTGCCATCTTAAAAAAAAGAAAGAAAAGAAACCCATATAGCAGTGCCAAACAAAGTACTGTGGAATGGTTCTCAAAACCATAGCTCCCTGATGGGATAATGTAGTTTAAATATAGCAGCTATTTTTCCCTCTAGTTGGTTTGTTCTTTGATTTTTGTGGAAAGATTTCAAAAGTTCTCCTCCATTGCCCTCCTTCCTCACCCCCCAAGGTGCTTAGACTTTAAATGGTGAAATACTTAAAATGCAGAGATGGCCTGGCCTCCTGAGCCTGGTAGAAGAAAGAAGAGTGATTAAATGCAATTTTAATTTTATAGGATGAGTTCTCTGATTCTCCCTTCCCTGCCGGGTGCCAGGGTGTTGCTCTCACAGTAGTGGTAGCAGCCCCAAGCAGGTTGGGTTTCAGTCTGGCAGAAATCCAAGGACAGTGCACACAGCAGATAGGGTTGCTGTGGACAAATTCCTAGAATAGGATCTTTGTTCCCAAGCTGACCAGCTTGCTCCCTTGATGTCCCACAATAGAAAAAAAAAGGGGGGGGGGTGTTGGTGGAGGCATGTTTAGGTCTCCCATTGTGATCCTGCTGTAGTTACCTGATAGTTCACAAAAGATCCCAGGAGGTTGGCAGCCCTCCCAAGTTACCTTGTGATTCTCTCCTGATTTCAAATAGGGGGAGGGAGGAGGACACCATGTATCCTAAGAGAAGCTTGTCTGACATGCCTGATCCGTTCCATCTGGGAAGATGCATCATGAACCCCATCTGGCTCCAGCAGTCTGGCTAAGGCTGAGGCTGAGGCAGCCGTGGGCTCCCAGCACACCCCCACTAGCTCCATCCCTCTCAAGCCCGCTTATCCTTCATCTTCCCCTGAAAGAAACAGATCACAGCTTCTGTCATTTGCAAGACCTCCCCTGACTCCCTATGCCCTGGCCTTTTCTGCAATCGCCTCTGCTTCTTCTCCAACTGTGGCTTCTCTGATCTCCCAGCCCTCTGCAGATGCCGTGTTGATTGGAGGCCCTCTGCAGATGGCAGGGCCCCTGTGAAAATCCAGTTCTTTCACCTGATCCTCCTGCACCACCCAGAGTATGTCCTGATTTGGGAGACAGATACACCTATTATAAGGTCCTGTCCCGTGTCTTGCAAGCTGGAGTCTAGAGGTACTGGACAATCGTTCCCGTTCTGTTAGCTGCTTCCCATCTCAACCAGTAGAGCCATGGCCTCTTTGGCCTTCAACCTTAACATTTAAATCTTCTCACGGGGGTCCAATCTGCATGGATGGGGGATGGGAGGAGTCTAAGAAAGCAGAGGCTTGGCTGGAGACGTTTGCAAACATTAGACGTTTCTCTTCCATGACTCATCGGAGGAGAGCAGTCCTCCCTCTTCCTGGAATGCAGCAAACCCATGGCCAACTCCTACCCCCACCCCATCCCCAAAATAAAACAACCCACACCTAGAGCTCTGTCCTCAGAAATCAGATTTCCCTCAAACATCTGACATGGCAACTTGGGGGCAGGGAGCATTCTGAGACCACAGAACAGCCTCTAAGAGGATTCTCTGACCTGAGGGGAGAGAGGGGGCTGCAGTCATAGCACATGTATCATTAGGATGGGTCTTTTCCAGAAAGCGCCTTCACCTTCCTGTCCTCCCCCAACCGTTCTTCTTAGTAGCCTCCCAGTATAAAACTAGGGGTAGACAACCGACCATTCCAGCAAGGCTTGATTTCATTGGTACATAAAAGGGTTCTAGAAAAAAAATAGGCTGGTGCAGATAAAAAGGAAGGAAGGAGGCAGGGTGCGGTGGATTATACCTGTAATCCCAGCACTTTGGGAGACTGAGGCGGGCGGATCACCTGAGGTAAAGTGCAGTTTGAGACCAGCCTGGTCAACATGGTGAAATCCATGTCTACTGAAAATACAAAAATTAACTGGGCATGGTGGCATGCGCCTGTAATCCCAGCTACTTGGGAGGCTGAGGCAGGAGAATCCCTTAAACTCGGGAGGCGGAGGTTGCAGTGAGCAGAGATCATGCCACTGCACTCCAGGCTGGGTGACAGAGACTCTGCCTCAAAAAAAAAAAAAAGGAAGGAAGGAGGCCGGGTGTGGTGGCTCACACCTGTAATCCCAGCACTTTGGGAGGCTGAGGTGGGCGGATCACTTGAGATCAGGACTTTGAGATGAGAGTGGCCAACATGGTGAAACCCTCTCTCTACTAAAAATACAAAAATTAGCTGGGTGTGGTGGCGCTCACCTGTAGTCCCAGTTTCTTGGGGGGCTGAGGCAGGAGAATTGCTTGAGCCCGGGAGGTGGAGGTGGCAATAAGCTGAGATTGCTCCACTGCACTCCAACCTGGGTGACACAACGAGACTCGGTCTCAAAAAATAAAAATAAATAAATAAATAAATCAAAAGAAGGAAGGGACAAAAAGGAAGACACCATTTAATAGACATGCATTTGCCATGCATGCAATGTGCTGGGACCTTTTCACATGTTGTCTTAGTGCATCCTTAGGACAAGCCTGTCTGGTACGTATCATTATCATTCCTATTTTTCCAGGTACTGAAAGTTGATTCTCAGAGAGGTTAAGTCACACAAATTAGAAATCACTATTCAATAAACATCTTTGGGAATAGAAGATTATTTGTAGGGAGAAGAATTAGCTTGGATCTATTTCTAACACCATGAAATGCAATCCGGCTGGGCGCTGTGGCTCATGCCTGTAATCCCAGAACTTTGGGAGGCTGAGGTGGGTGGATCACCTGAGGTCAGGAATTTGAGACCAGCCTGGCCAACATAGTGAAGCCCCGTCTCTACTAAAAATACAAAAAACTAGCCAGGCAGGCATGGTGGCAGGTGCCTGTAGAGGCAGGAGAATCGCTTGAACCCGGGAGGCAGAGGTTGCAGTGAGCTGAGATCGCACCACTGCTTGGGCAGCAAGAGTGAAACTCTGTCTCAAAAAAGAAAAGAAAAGAAATGCAATACATTTCATATTGGAAAGAGTGTTAAACATTTTTTTAAAAGTCTGTAAAACAATGAAAAGAAGCAACAAAACTATATAGGTGTGGAGGTCAAAGTGGGTGGATCACTTGAGGTCAGGAGTTTGAGACCAGCCTGGCCAACATGGCGAAACCCTGTCTCTACTAAAAATACAAAAATTAGCGGGGCTTGGTGGCACATGCCCATAATCCCAGCTACTTGGGAGGCTGAGGCAGGAGAATCATTTGAACCCGGGAGGTGGAGGTTGCAGTGAGCCGAGATCACGGCACTACACTCCAGCCTGGGTGACAGAGCAAGACTCCATTTCAAAAAAAAAAAAAAGTAGATAGGTGAGGAGGGGAGAGAAAACTTCTAAGTACTTCAGGTATAGAAACACTTTAAATTTGCATAATAAAATGTTATAAAACAAATGGAGGGAATGTATGCATGGGGTTTTAGAAAGAAACTAGACGACTCCTGGAAAACCTTTTAATGCTAGGAATCTGTGATTCTCTGACTGCGCAGAAGCACTCAGAGACCCACAAAGATTTTTATTATAGCAAATATCTCCTCAACTGGTTCTTGGACCAGTTTAATTTCCTGATCCCAGATCTGTCCCTACTCCCCGCTGTGGCAAGGGGAGAGAGGATCATTCTGAGTCACGAAATGCAGCCCTGTCCAGGGTGGGGAAGGGACAGCTGCTTAATTTGCAGCACATGTTGCTGAGAAAAGTGGTAAAGCAGAGTTCCCCTTCCACTGAAAGCTGCACAAGGAGGCTTCCGCCAGCTGAATGCAGTGACCTGAGCTGGAATTCTGCCAGGACAGTGGGATTAACTTCCCAAGTGCTGGCCAAAAAGGGCCCCGGGATTTTTATTTTTATTCATTTTCCATTACAACTGCACAGCAACGCAAACAAGCCCCACAACAATGTGAGCCACCAAGAGTCATTTTCCTTTGCTGGGTGCCATGTCAATACCACACATCTTGCTGACCTCATTTTACCGAAGTTTTAAGATGGGGAGCTTGATTACTTACTTCCCTGCTGACGATAATGGGAGAAAGGCATTGTGATTGCCCAATTAAAGCTGTATGCTTTAAAGGCGAAATAAAGCAACACATGCACACGGAGTCCACTGTACCCAGGGATAATAATTTAATGGGAAGTCAGTGGAAATCCAAGAAAATATAGGTCTAGCTCCCCAAGTCCCCTAAGATCAGGGGCCCAGAGGCACAGGGATTGGAGGAGATCTGACCACAGGCAATTAAATGTCAATTAAAAAGGGGGTCCAGTGGGGAGGGAAGGTAAAGGGCTTAGTGCATTAGAACCAGGCTCCAGGCTAATGAGACTCCTCAGAGAGGGCTTTGCACATGTTAGACAGGGGGTGTGTTTTAACTTGTGATTTGCCCTGTTTTTCCAGTCACATGATTCAATATTATCACAGTCTTCAAAACATCACCTTTTGGAAAACGTGGAGAGACAAATTCAGAGAATTGCAGGCACCAGGTAATACTGTATGCTCTTAGGCAAGCTACTTAATCTGTGTCCCTATTTCCTCAATTATAAAGAGTGGATAATTGAATCTACCTCATGTAGTTTTCGTGTGAGTTACATGAGAGACTGTGCATGTGATGTGCCTTGCACGTGGCTGGCAGCACTAGTAGAGAGACATTGCAGGCACCTTCATCTTAGGCTGATCTTAAGGCCCAGCCCTCCTAAAACGTAAACCATTTGATTTAATCTTGTAACAACAAACATATCCATTAACGTTATGGAAGATACAGAGACATTATTGAAGGTATAGAGGCTTCAAATTCCCGCCACCCCCGTTTTTAAAACTAAGACACATTTCAGGCACAGAAAAAAGTACAATAATAATATAATAAACACTCATCTATGCACCATTTAGAAATAAAACATTATTGTTAGAACTGAAGTTCCTTGTATGTTCCTTGAAACTCATTCTCGACCTTTCTTTCCCAGTGGTAACCTCTATCCTGAACTTGGGGTTTATCATTCTCATGCATATTCTTGTATTTTTACTATAGATAAGTATATCCACAAACAACAATGGGCTAGGCGTGGTGACTCACACCTGTAATCCCAGCACTTTGGGAGGCCGAGGTGGGTGGATCACACGAGGTCAGCAGTTCGAGACCAGCCTGGCCAACATGGTGAGACCCCATCTCTACCAAAAAAAATCAAAAATTAGCTAAGTGTGGTGGCGCTTGCATGTAATCTCAGCTAGTCGGAAGACTGAGGCAGAATTGCTTGAATCTGGGAGGTGGAGGTTGCAGTGAGCCGAGATAGTGCCACTGCACTCCAGCCTGGGCGACAGAGCGAGAGTCTGTCTCAAAACAAACAAAAACAAAACAAAACAATGCAAACTGTATTATCTGGTATTTTTCATAGTTTACACAAAACTTACAAATTTTGTACATATCCGGCATTTTGTTTTGTTTTACTCACTATTATGTTTTTTAAAATTTTTATTTATTTATTTATTTATTTATTTATTTATTTATTTATCTTTTTGAGACAGAGTCTTCTCTATCACCCATGAGCAATCTCTGTTCACTGCAACCTCTGCCCCTCAGGCTCAAGCAATCGCCTCAGCCTCCCGAGTAGCTGGGATTACAGGCATGCCCCACCACATCCGGCTAATTTTTGCATTTTTTTGTAGAGATGGGGCTTCTCCATGTTGCTCAGGCTGGTCTCGAACTCCTGAGCTCAAGTGATCTGCCTTCTTCGACCTCCCAGATTACTGGGATTACAGGCGTGAGCCACTGCGCCTGGCCTGGGGTTTTTTTTTTTTTTGTAGGTTTATTCATATAAAGCTAAAAATACAAGTGTAGATACATGTAACTCTAGTGACTTCCATTTTCTTGCTTTATAGTTACATATATATTTAAAATAAACAAGTAAAAGGACAGAGAAAAAGCTGAAATTCTCATTGTTTCCTTCCCTCTGCAGTCTGTCTTTTAACTAGTTTACAATGTTTCCCAGAGAAAATCAAAGATGAAATTTCACTTTATCTTTCTTCTCCAAAAGACTCAGCTTTGTTTTTTTTCCCCGTTTCCAAAATGGATAAAGCTTCTTTTATGGCTGTTAAATTTTATGCTACAGGTACCTGTAAATTGCCTGTCTGCTCTGCACTGTGGAGAATTTATCTTTACATGATAATCAGGTCCCAGGCTCTCTTTCCTACCATGAAGGCTGTTCCCATGTTGAAGACAGTGAAGGCTGGCATTGCCATGGGGTCTGGCACTGCAGGGATACTGGCTGATGACCATTTCTCAATTGTCAGTTTTTTTGGTTTTGTTTTGAAACAGGGTCTTGCTCTGTCACCCAGTCTGGAGTGCAGTGGCGTGATCATGGCTCACTGCAGCCTCGAACTCCGGGGCTCAAGCAATTGTTTCACCTCAGCCTCCTGAGTAGCTGGGACCACAGATGCACAGCACCATGCCCAGCTAAATTTTTAAAATATTTTGTAGAATGGCAGCGTTGTGGGGAGGGGGTCTCTCTATATTGCCCAGGCTGGTCTTGAACTCTTGCGCTCAAGTGATCCTCCCATCTTGGCCTCTCAAGGTGCTGGAATTACAGATTTGAGTCATCATGCCTGGCCTCAACTGCCAGACTTTTTTTTTTTTTTTGAGATGGAGTCTCACTGTGTCACCCAGGCTGGAGTGCAGTGGCGCGATCTCGGCTCACTGAAACCTCCACCTCCCGCGTTCAAGCGAGTCTCCTGCCTCAGCCTCCCAAGTAGCTGGGATTACAGGCGTGCAACACCACACCTGGCTAATTTTTGTGTTTTTAGTAGGGACGAGGTTTCATGTTGGCCAGGCTGGTCTTGAACTCCTGACCTCAGGTGATCTGCCCGCCTCGCCTTCCCAAAGCACTGAGATTACAGGCATGAGCCACAGCACCTGGCCAATTGTCAGACTTTTGATAGAGCTTTAATATTAAAAGAGAATTGAGTAAAACCTGCAGGTCAGCAGAAATTTTTCACTCAGCCACTCCTCTTCCCGAAACCCCATTTGGAGTATTTCTGTTACCTTAAAGATAGAATGGTATGAATGCCCAGACATTCATACTACCTTTCCTTTTTTTTTTTTTTTGAGACCGAGTCTCACTCTGACGCCCAGGATGGAGTGCCGTGGTGCAATCTCAGCTCACTGCAACCTCCGCCTCCCAGGTTCAAGCAATTCTCCTGCCTCAGCCTCCCAAGTAGCTGGGATTACAGGCACCGCCACCAAGCCCACCTAATTTTTGTATTTTTAGTAGAGACGGGGTTTCACCATGTTGGCCAGGCTGGTCTCGAACTCCTGACCTCAAGTGATCTGCCCGCCTCGGCCTCCCAAAGTGCTGGGATTACAGGCGTGAGCCACTGCAGCCGGTCAATTGTCAGACTTTTGATAGAGCTTTAATATTAAAAGAGAATTTAGTAAAACCTGCAGGTCAGCAGAAATTTTTCACTCAGCCACCCCTCTCCCAGATTCCCCATTTAAAATATTTCTGTTATCTTAAAGATAGAATGATGTGAGTGCCCAGACATCTACATATCACCTTTCCTTTTGGTTTTTGCTCTGAGCTACCTCAATCATTCTAAAGCTTTAAGTTTGCTTGGGAATTACTGTATAGGGCTGCGGTTCACACTAGATCATGTATGTTGTATTTTGTTGGCAATTTAAGGTACTTTCAAAGGTTGTTTGACTACAGTTAATTTTCACCTTACTCATATATGATGTAATTCCTTTGGAATAAGTTTTCAGTAAATACTAGTTACTAATTTTGTCATTATTATTGGAGAGTTGAAGTGCATAACTGATTTGCAAAAGTTCTGAAGAACAAAATCCGTTTGGGGTATCATGGAAAATGGCCAATATGTGTGAAGATGGTGCTTCGAGATTTTCAGATAATCTGTTCCAGGTGGACCAGGTGGACTGGTGAGGTTTGGCAGGGGAGCCTGCCGAGCCACGCATGTGGGGTACACCTGCACAACAAACAGGGTTCCACCCCAAGATTCATTACCGAGCCAGCCCTTGGCACATGTGTAATTCGATTCACCTCCTTTTTTCTTTTGTGGTCAAAAACGTAGCATAAAATTTACTATCTTAACCATGTTTAAGTGTACAGTAGTACAGTAGTGTTAACTATACGCACCTTGCGCAACTGATCTCTGGAACTTTTCCATCTTGCAAAATTGAAACTGTATATCCATTGAACAACTCCCCATTGCCCCCTCCCTTGGTTCCCTGGCAACCACCATACTACTTTGTTTCTAAGAGTCTGACTACTTTACATACCTTACATAAGTGGAATCATGCAGTATCTGTATTTGTTCTTTTGTGATTATCTTACTTCACTTAGCCAAATGTCCTTAAGGTTTATCCATGTTTTAGCAGATGACAGGATTTCTTTCTTTTAGGATGAATAGTAATTTTTTTTTTTTGAGACCGAGTCTCAGTCTGTCGCTCAGGCTGGAGTGCAGTGGTGCAATTATAGCTCACTGCTGCCTTGACCTCCTAGGCTCAAGCGATCTTATCGAAGCCTCTCACCTCCTGGGCTCAAGCGATCTTCTTATCGAAGCCTCTCAAGTAGCTGGGACTAAAGGCATGCGCCATCATGCCCAGCTAATTTTTAAAAATTTTGTGTAGAGACAGGGTCTCACTATGTTACCCAGGCAGGTCTTGAATTCCTGGGCTCAAGCGATCCTCCTGCCTCGGCTTCCCAAAGTGCTGGGATTACAGATGTGAGCCACCTGTGCTTGGCCATTATTTTTCACTTCCTAAAATTGGGAAGCATTGCTACTTGTTATTTTCCTCCTCTTTCTTCCAAGGAGGGAGATGTAACTGTCAGAAGGAGTCTATCGACCTCATTCTGTCATTCTGTTCTTGAGGCCACTGAAGGGCATAAAACCGGCTCTTAGAGGCCCAAGTGCATGGAATCTAAACCTTTGGTGGAAACTTCTCAGTGCTCCTGCTCCTCAGGGTTACCTGCTCTAAGCATTTAATATCACTGAGCTTTAAAAGGGAAAGGCCCCAAGTCATGCAGGATTCAATTTCCAAGTCACAGAAGGATGAGTGCTTGCTCAGATCTTCCCTCTATGCCCCATGAAAGACCAGAAAGTTTCAGTCTTTTCTTTTTTCTTCTTTTTTGAGACAGGGCCTTGCTCTGTCACCTCAGGCTGGAGTGCTGTGGTACGATCTCGCTCATTGCAACCTCCACCTCCCAGGCTCAAGAGATACTCCCACCTCAGCCTCCCAAGTAAACAAAAAATATGAGAACCTAGCCAGGTGTGGTAGTGGACACCTGTGGTCCCAGCTACTCAGAAGGTTGAGGTGAGAGGATGGCTTGAGCCCAGGAGGTCAAGGCTGCAGTGAGCCGTGCACTCTAGCCTGGGCGACAGAGTGACACCCTGTCTCAAAAAAAGAAATAAAGAAACATGGTCAGGCTGGAACCTGTATCAATTATATCAATTAACTAACCTATCTTGAATTAGCCTTGGAAAAATGAGGTGTCATCCCTAAAGGGGGTTCATGATGAACCTAATTTTCCTCTCTGGAGCCTAAGGCTCTACCAAAAAGACACCCAGTTGGATAATTTGGGAATAGGGAAAGATAATAGCATCTGACTCCACAGGAAGGTAATGACAAATTTATTGGGTCTTTTTTTGTCCTTAATTTTCCCCCATTTTGGTTTATCGTGTACACAGCCTGCCAATTTTTTTTTTTTTTTTTTTGAGACGGAGTTTCGCTCTTGTTGCCCAGGCTGGAGTGCATTGGCGCTATCTCCGGCTCACCGCAACCTCCGCCTCCTGGGTTCAAGCAATTCTCCTGCCTCAGCCTCCCGAGCAGCTGGGATTACAGACATGTGCCACCACACCTGGCTAATTTTGTATTTTTAGTAGAGACAGGGTTTCTCCATGTTGGTCAGGGTGGTCTCGAACTCCCAACCTCAGGTGATCTGCCCACCTCGGCCTCCCATTGCACCTGGCTTTTTTTTTTTTTTTTTTTTTTTTTTTTGAGACTGTGTCTCACTCTGTCGTCCAGGCTGGAGTGCAGTGGCGCGATCTCGGCTCACTGCAAGCTCCACCTCCTGGGTTCACACCATTCTCCTGCCTCAGCCTCTCAAGTCGCTGGGACTACAGGCGCCCGCCACCGCACCCGGCTAATTTTTTTTTGTATTTTTAGTAGAGACGGGGTTTCACTGTGTTAGCCAGGATGGTCTTCATCTCCTGACCTCGTGATCCACCTGCCTCGGCCTCCTAAAGTGCTGGGATTATAGGCGTGAGCCACCGCGCCCGGTCTTAATTTTTTAAAATAGCTTTTATTATAGAAATCCTCAAACATAACAAAAGTGGAGAAAAATAGTATAATAAACCCTTATTTACTATGATCTGGCTTCAGCAGTTATGAGCATTTCTGCTGTCATCCCACATCATCCCTCATGACTGTAACTGGGCTTTCTAAGTTTGTTTCCCTGTGTGTCCTTGCCACATGATTTTGGCTGTATCCAAGTGTTATCTTTCTGTTATTTATACACCTATTTTATATATATATATATATATATATATATTTTTTTTTTTTTTTTTTTTTTTTTTTTTTTTGAGACTGGATCTTGCTCTGTTGCTCAGGCTGGAGTGCAGTGGTGCAATCATGGCTCACTGTAGCCTCTACCTCCTGGGCTCAAGCAATCCTCCCACCTCAGCCTCCCAAGTAGCTGGGACTACAGATGCACACCACCACACCTGGCTAATTTTTGCTAATTTTTCATAGAGACAGGGTCTTGCCAAGTTGTTCAGGCTGGTCTTGAACTCCTGGCCTCAAGTGATCCTCCTGCCTTGGCCTCCCAAAGTGCTGGGATTACAGGCATGAGCCACCTTGCCCTGTCCTAAGTAAGTATATTTTATTTATTTGTATATATTTTTTGAGACAGAGTCTTGCTCTGTCCCCAGGCTGGAATGCAATGGCATGATCTTGGCTCACTGCAACCTCCACCTCCCAGGTTCAAGCAATTCTCCTGCCTCAGCCTTCTGGGTAGCTGGGATTACAGGTGAGCACCACCACACCCAGCTAATTTTTGTATTTTTAGTAGAGACGAGGTTTCGACATGTTGGCCAGGCTGGTCTCGAATTCATGACCTCGGGTGATCCACCAGGCTCGGCCTCCCAAAGTATTGGGATTACAGGTGTGAGCCACCATGCCCGGCCATAAATATATTTTAAAAGGAAATATTTAATTATGAAAAAAGAAAACCAGGATTACTTGCCGTGTGTAGAAAATTGTGAAAATAAATAAATAAATGCATAAATACGGTGAAAATGTTCTTATTTATAAATACTGCCCAATGCTGGTGACTACCAGCTTCTCATTTTGCTAAAAAAGGGAGGTTATCTACAAGTTTAGAGATGTTAAAAAAGTCAAGCCAGCACCAAACTGGGACTTTCTCTCAGTTAATCAGAAGGGCTGAGAGAGGGTTTAAACAGGAGTTGTCTTTTCCTTTCTCAAATCAGTGTTATCTTAACACCAAGCTCCTGTATCTCCAACAGTCACCGAGTGTGCCATCTTCTCACAGACCTCTAGTAGCAGGATTTCACATTTTGGAAAACACTGTTGATCCCATTCTCGCTCTCCTCTGTCCTTTCTGATTGGTACTTGTGATGGTCGGTTTTGTGTGTCAACTTGGCTAAGCTATAGTCTCCAGTTATTCAATCAAATGCTACTCTAGTTGTTGCTGTGTAGGTATTTTGTAGATATGATTAACATTCATAATCAGTTGATGTTAGGCTGGGCACAGTGCCTCACACCTGTAATCCCAGCACTTTGGGAGGCCGAGGCAGGAAGATCGCTTGAGCCCAGGAGTTGGAGACCAACCTGAGCAACATGGTGAAACCCCATTTCTACAAAAAATACAAGAATTAGCCAGGTGTGGTGGTGCGCACCTGTAATCCCAGCTACTCAGGAGGCTGAGGTGGAAGGATCATTTGAGGCCAGGAGATTGAGGCTGCAGTGAGACATGATTGTGCCACTGCACTCCAGCCTAAGTGACAGGGCAAGACCTTGTCTAAAAAAAAATAATAAAAAGTTGACTTTAAGTTAATGATTTGAGATGTCCTGGGTGGGCCTGATTCAATCAGTTAAATGACTATAAGAACAAGGCTGAGGCTTCCCCAAAGAAGAAATTCCCCCTGTGAACGGCTGCTTCAGGTCCTGGCTGAGTTTCGAGTCTGCCCTTCCTAATGGCCTGCCCCAAGGATTTAGAATTTTCCTAGCCAGCCCCTACAATCACATAAGCCAATTCTTTGCAGTAAATCTCTTGCCACATAGCTCCATCTCCTACTGGTTCTGTTTCTCTGGTGAAAGCCCTGCCTGGTGGGTACCCTATGCACGTGTTCCGTAGCAGCTAGAACGATCTGGCAATTCCCAAATGCGCCAGCTGCCTTCCCACCTCTGTGGTGTTGCCTGTTTCTCACCCCCTCGAGGGAATATCCGCTTCTGCGAGGCCACCATTCATGTCTTACATCTTGCCTTCAAGGCTCACCTCAAGGGGTTGTCTCTGTGAAGCCTTCCTGGGGGCCTCGGGTCTGTTGTAGCCCACCTCTAAATTCAACAGCACCGTGGGTGCTCACTCACGTGGCCTGCAGCCCACGTTTATCTCGTTCTGACCCTGAAAGGGCTTCTACATCTCTGTTTCTCTAATCCTAGCTGCTTCTCTACCCGGCAAATGTCCTTGGATGCTTGTCTTTTTTTTTTTTTTTTTTTTGAGACGGAGTTTCACTCATGTTGCCCAGGCTGGAGTGCAATGGTGTAATCTCGGATCAGTGCAACCTCCACCTCCTGGGTTCAAGCAATTCTCCTGCCTCAACCTCCTGAGTAGCTGAGATTACAGGCATGTGCCACCACGCCCATCTAATTTTTGTATTTTTAGTAGAGATGGGGTTTCACCAAGTTGATCAGGCTGGTCTGGAACCCCTGACCTCGTGATCCACGCGCCTCAGCTTCCCAAAGTGCTCGGATTACAGGCGTGAGTCACCGCACCCGGCTGATGCTTTGAGGCCACTGAAGCTCTGTCAGCAAAAGTGGAGGGCCACCTTTAGCTTCCTGCTGCACCTCATCATTCCTGTCCCTTCAAATGGCCAACCTTCTCATGGAGTGGAACACCCACCCCACCTTGGGCTGGGACATCCCACAAGAATGGAAGGGGGCCTCTTGAAAGGGGACTCAGTAGAGGACAGAGTTGAAAACACGATCCTGCTGTAAGACACTCAGGAGTCATGTCCAGGGGCTGAGGAAAGGTTCTCCTGTCCATTCCTGAGGCTGGGCTTCCACCTTCTCCATTTGCCCAACCTGCAGGGAGGATTTGAAGTCCCCTCTGCCTCCACTCAGGGAAGACCTGATAGAACTGAATGTCCAGGCTGGGCGAGGTGGCTCATGCCTGTAATCCCAGCACTTTAGAAGGCTGAGGTGGGTGGATCACCTGAGGCCAGGAGTTCAAGACCCGCCTAGCCAACAATGTGAAACCTTGTGTCTACTAAAAATACAAAAATTAGCCAGGTGTGGTGCACGCCTGTAATCCCAGCTACTTGGGAGGCTGAGGGACGAGAATAGCTTGAACCCAAGAGGCGGAGGCTGCAGTGAGCTGAGATCACACCACTGCATTCCAGCCTGGGTGACAGAACTGAATGTCCAGTATGTGGGCCAAAGATCCAAGAGAAAGAAAAATCTTAAGTGGAGGAAGCAGGGAAACGGGAGCAAGTTTGGCCCTGGAGAGAGTCCCTAGAAGCGAGTTTGGCCCTGGAGAGAGTCCCTGGAGAGAAGCCTTACAGCTGGGGCCAGCAGTGAGGGTGCAGTGACTAACTGGCCAGCACCTGCTTCTCCTCAGCTCGGGGACTACACCTTCTGCCCTCTTGATGCTCCAGGCACACAAAGGTGATTGTGTAGCCTCCTAGAGATGAAAGTGCATTCCTCGCTGGCTCCAAGGACTCCAGGGCTCCTCAGTCAGGGGAGCCCAGTCAGAAGCTCAGCAGGGAAGGCCACGCCGCCTCTGCCACAAGCCTCACGGGAAAGCGAGTTTCTTCTTCTGGCCCCCGTCCCACTCTCACCTCCCTTGAGGAAAAAAGGAATGTAAGTGTCCTGAGAAGAGAAAGCAGAGGGCATGGGCCGGCTGGCTTGGTTTGGTACTTCCTGAATAAAACTGTACTATCTCCAGGACAGCTTGACAGTGCACATTTGAGCTTCCGTTTAAGGGAAATCTCAATCTCTGACCTTTCCTCTGAGATGGGGCAATTCTGCAAGAGCCACACAGTGTGGTTGCGGGTGAGAGGGAGGAAGGAGGGGCCACAGGGACACAGTCCTCATTAAGACTGAGGTTCTGCGGGAAATGCTGAATCTGAAAACATTCTTCCCCTCCATGATGCACCCTTAAAGTAGCTTCATCCAGACTGAAACTCAAGGCTGGGCATGGTGGCTCATCCCTGTAATCCCAGCACTTTGGGAGGCCGAGGTGGGTGGATCACCTGAGGTCAGGAGTTCAAGACCAGCCTGGCCAACATGGCAAAATCCCATCTCTAGTAAAAATACAAAAATTAGCTGGGTGTGGTGGTGAGCACCTGTAGTCCCAGCTACTCGGGAGGCTGAGGCAGGAGAATTGCTTGAACCTGGGAGGTGGAGGCTGCAGTGAGCCAAGATTATGCCACTGTACTCCAACCTGGGTGACAGGGCGAGACTCCATCTCAAAAGAAAAAAAAACAAAGAAACTAAAAATCAACACACACACACACACACACACACACACACACACATAAGTGCTAACAGGAATGATGACACTGCTCTCTGTGATAATTATTCATGGATTTACAACTGCCTAATAGATGCATGAAAGAAAAATTCAACCTCACTAGTAATCAAGAAAATGTAAATCAACTCAAAGGGATAGTATTCCCACCTATCAAACGGAATTGTTTTTAAAGAGGGCCTTCTCTTCCGCCTGCTGGTGGGATTGCATGCTGGCTTTCTGGAAAGTCACTTGATAACACGTAATGATACTTTAAAAAGAATGACTCAGTAATTTTGCTATAGGAATGATTCTAAAGAAATCACAAGCCGGGCGTGGTGGCTCATGCCTGTAATCCCAGCATTTTGGGAGGCCGAGGCGGGTGGATCACCTGAGGTCGGGAGTTCGAGACCAGCCTGACCAACATGGAGAAACTCCATCTCTACTAAAAATACAAAATTAGCTGGGTGTGGTGGCGCATGCCTGTAATCCCAGCTACTTGGGAGGCTGAGGCAGGAGAATCACTTGAACCCGGGAGGCGGAGGTTGCTGTGAGCCGAGATTGTGCCATTGCACTCCAGCCTGGGCAGCAAGAAGGAAACTCAGTCTCAAAAAAAAAAAAAAAAAGATAAGAGATAAGAGATGTGAACAAAGATGTTTTATGCAAAGATGCTCATTACTTCATGATCATAGCAAAAGAAAAAAACCTTAAATGTCCAACAACTGTAACTGTTCATCACAGTAAGTCCATACTGGAGAATATTACGGAGTCATTAAAAATGGCCATTGGGGCTGGCCAGGCACAGTGGTTCATGCCTATAATCCCAGCATTTTGGGAGGCCAAGGTGGGAGGATTGCTTGAACCCAGGAGTTTGAGACTAGTCTAGGCAACATGGTGAGACTCTGTTTCTACAAAAAAAATTAAATTTCCGAGCATGGTAGCACACATCTGTAGTCCCAGCCACTCAGGAGGCTAAGAGTGAGAGGATTGTTTGAGCCCAGGAGCTTGAGGCTGCAGTGAGCCGTGACTGCACCACTGCACTTTAGCCTGGGCAGAGCGAGACATTGTCTCAAAAAAAAAAAAAAAAAAAAGTCATTGGGCCAGGTGTGCTGGCTCACACCTGTAATCTCAGCACTTGAGAGACTGAGGCGGGAGATCACTTGAAGCCAGGAGATCTACCTTAGAGGGTTGCTGTGAGAATCACATGTGATAATCTATGTAAACTGCTTAGCAGAGAGTTCCTGGTTTACTATACAACTAGGTAAGGCCGGGCGTGGTGGTTCATGCCTGTAATCCTAGCACTTTGGGAGGCTGAGGTGGGCAGATTGCTTGAGGCCAGGAGTTCAATACCACCCTGGGCAACATGGCAAAACCCTGTCTCTGCAAAAAAATACAAAAATTATCTGGGTGTAGTGGTGTGTGTCTGTGGTCCCAGCTACTCGGGAGGCTGAGGCAGGAGGATCACTTGAACCCAGGAGGTTGAGGCTCCAATGAGCTGTGACCATGCCACTACACTTGACCCTGTCTCAAAACCAAAAAAAAAAAAGACTAGATAAATATGAGCAATGATTATTTAATAATGGACATGTGGCCGGGCATGGTGACTCACGCCTGTAATCCCGGCACTTTGGGAAGCCAAGGCAGGTGGATCACCTGAGGTCAGCAGTTCGACACCAGTCTGGCCAACATGGTGAAACCGTCTCTACTAAAAAATATAAAAATTAGCTGGGCGTGGTGGTGGATGCCTGTAATCCTAGCTACTTGGGAGGCTGAGGCAGGAGAATCACTTGAACCTGGGAGGCGGAGGTTGCAGTGACCTGAGATTGCGCCAGTGCACTCTAGTTGGGCGACAAGAGCGAAACTCCATCTCAAAAGAAAAAAAAAGAAAGAAAGAAAAGGACATGTATAATTTTTTATAATGAAAAAAATTCCAGTTCATGCTTTCTTTTTTTTTTTTTTTTTTTTTTTTTGAGACAGAGTCTCACTCAGTCACCCAGGCCGGAGTGCAGTGGCATGATCTCGGCTCACTGCAACCTCCACCTCCCCAGTTCAAGTGATTCTTGTGCCTCAGCCTCCCAAGTAGGTGGAATTAAAGGCATGTGCCACCACACCCAGGTAATTTTTTTTTTTGAGACAGAGTCTCATTTTGTTGCCCAGGCTGGAGTGCAGTGCCACAGTCTTGGCTCACTGCAACTCTGCCTCTTAGGTATAAGCAATTCTCCTGCCTCAGCCTACCAAGTAGCTGGAACTACAGGCACATGCCACCATGCCTGGCTAATTTTTTTGGTTTTTTTTTGAGACGAGTCTCGCTCTGTCACCCAGGCTGGAGTGCGGTGGCGCAATCTCAGCTCACTGCAAGCTCCGCCTCCCGGGTTCATGCCATTCTCCTGCCTCAGCCTCCTGAGTAGCTGGAACTACAGGCGCCTGCCACCACGCCTGGCTAATTTTTTGTATTTTTAGTAGAGATGGGGTTTCGCTATGTTGTCCAGGCTGGTCTTGAACTCCTGACCTCAGGTGATCCGCCCGCCTTGGCCTCCCAAAGTGCTGGGATTACAAAGATGAGCTACTGTGCCCAGCCCTTGTAATTCATGCGATTTTAAAATAACATTTCAGAAGAATTTTTGATGAACTGGAACACAAAAATAATAAATAGAAAAGCAAGATACAAACAATATGTGTGCATATAACCCCATCTTCCAACCTACACACATATGCATAAAGATATGTGTGCATTTCAAAAACAAAGAGATTGTTTTGCCCCAAATACTACCAGTAGTTAAACTGTAGATTATGAATGATTCTTCTCCTTTATTCTTTAATGTATTTTCAAAGATTTCTAAAATAAGCACTCTTCTGGTTTTTCAAAAGTGAAACTTTAAAAAAGATCTAGAATCTGCTGTCGGGAGAACACACAGAGGGAAACTGTGACCTCCAGACGTCAGCAGCCCGGCTGCTGGTGTCATGCTCCACAGAAAGCCGAGTCACCCCTTTGGGGCCAGGGTGTCCTGTGAAATATATAGACCAGGGTCAGGCCAGCTCACGAGGCCCAGTGGCCTCGGCAGACCTTTCCGGGGAGTGGGCACTCTGCCACCCCGGCCCATATCTTAATGAGATAATGTATGTGAAAGCACTTTGCCAAAGAGAAAACTCTATCCAGATAGGTGATTGCACGGCTTATTCTGGAGAAAGTAGGCTCTCAGAGCACATTCTATTAAGGAATTTCACACTCTATCTCCTCCTCCAAACTCTTCTCTTTTTCTCCCTCCCCTGAACAGAAATATATTTAGCAACCCTATCTAAATCCTCTTCTTTCCCTTAATTTGATTAAGGAGGAAGGGGAACAAGGGATGGAATGGGGGGTGAGGGGAGCGGGGTGGCTGAGCTGCCGGGAAAGATTAGAGGAGCTGCATGTGTATCTCCGGCCGAGCGATGGCTGAGTGTGGACAGGACGAGGGCCTCCTGGTACTTAGTGCAGAGGCACAGAGGACAGAGGGAGGGGACACAGTCAATCACGGAACACGCTTCTCTGGGAGAATGAGGACCAAATCAGGGAGGGTCCAGCTTCTGGGACTAACTTGGGGAATGGGAGCCATTTCCTATGGGAGGCACTGGATACTGAGTCTCCTCTGCTTTCCTGGCGCCTTGGGTCCTCAGAGCCTCAACAAGTGCCAGGAGGGCTGAGCGCGGTGGCTCACGCCTGTAATCCCAGCACTTTGGGAGGCCGAGGCAGGCAGATCACGAGGTCAGAAGATTGAGACCATCCTGGCTAACATGGTGAAACTCCGTCTCCACTAAAAATACAAAAAATTAGCCGGGCGTGGTGGCCGACGCCTGTAGTCCCAGCTACTCGGGAGGCTGAGGCAGGAGAATGGCGTGAACCCGGGAGGTGGAGCTTGCAGTGAGCCCAGATCCCACCACTGCACTCCAGCCTGGGTGACAGAGCAAGACTCTGTCTCAAAAAAAAAAAAAAAAAAAAAAAAAATCCCAGGAGGCTGCATGTGCTGAGCTCTTGCTATGTGTTTGGTACTTTCACATATTCACATAGATCAGTGAATGTATTCTTTCTTTTCTTTTTTCTTTTTTTTTTTTTGAGACAGGGTCTCACTCTGTTGCCCAGGCTGTAGTGTCACAATCACCGCTCAGCCTCCCAAGTAGCTGGGACCATAGGTACACACCATCACACTCAACTAATTTTTTTTTTTTTTTTAGTAGGGATGAGGTCTTGCTATGTTGCCCAGACTGGTTTTGAACTCCTGGACTCAAGCCCACCTTGGCTGCCCAAAGTGCTGAAATTACAGGTGTAGGCCACCACACTCGGCCGGAATTTATTCTTTTTTTTTTTTTTTTTTTGAGACAGAGTCTTGCTCTGTTGCTGAGGCTGGAGTGCAGAGGCACAATCTCGGCTCACTGCAACCCTCTGCCTCCTGGGTTCAAGCGATCCTCCTGCCTCAGCCTCCCGAGTAGCTGGGACTACAGGCACTCACTACCATGCCCAGCTAATTTTTGTACTTTTTTAGAGATGGGGTTTCACCATGTTGCCTAGGCTGCTCTCAAACTCCTGGGCTCAAGCGATCCCCCGCCTCAGCTCCTCAAAGTACTGGGACTACAGGTATGAGCCAATGCGCTCGGCCTGAATTTCTTCTTTTTTGTTTGTTTGTTTTGTTTTGTTTTGAGACAGGGTCTCGCTCTGTCACCCAGGCACTTTGGCTGGCCTGAGTTTATTCTTATGAAGTAATTTGTCTTTACCCACGAAGCTGATGCTGAGAGATTGTTTTGCCCAAAAGAATACAGTTGTTAATGTGTGGGGAAAACAGGATTGCAGTCCAGTTCTGCCTGATTCCACTGCTCTCCCTGGCAAATATTATCCTCCAGAGAAAATAACAGCAGCCAACGCTGACTTAGCCCTACTCGCCAGGCACTGCTATGTGCCTTAAAATATGGTATCTCATTAAATCCTCACAGCACCCCTATGAGGTAGATACTATTATTTTTACGTTTTTCAGATGGAGTCTCGCTCTGTTGCCCAGACTGGAGTGTAATGGCGCGATCTCGGCTCACTGCAACCTCTGCCTCCCGGGTTCAAGTGATTCTCCTGCCTCAGCCTCCAGAGTAGCTGGGATTAAAGGTGCGGGCCACCATGCCCAGCTAATTTTTGTATTTTTAGTAGAGACAGGGTTTCACCATGTTGGTCAGCCTGGTCTCGAACTCCTGACCTCGTGATCCAACCACCTCGGCCTCCCAAAGTGCTGGGATTACAGGCATAAGCCACCGCCCCCAGGCGAGGTAGATACTATTAATAACCCCATTTTACAGATGAGGAGCCTGAGGCATACAGTAAGCCATTTACATTACAGAGCTGGGAAATGGCAAGAGTAGGGACTTGGAGAGCCTGTGAGAGTGGAGAAATGTTGGGTATGAGGCATGCAAAATGAGCAGGCCCCTCTGTTTTATGTGTGTCTCTTCTGATGGTCTGGTTGCTCCGCAAGGACAGGGACCTTGTCTTGTTTATCCTGTATTGCCAACCCGAGCACAATGCCTGGAACAGAAGGAATGTTTGCTGCAAGAACTAGTGGTACCTGATAAACTTGGCTAAGCAATTGTCTCCACTGGGGGCCAACTTGGTGAGGATTAAGTGAGATTTATTTGTCTAGGGATTTCCAAGTCTAAAATGTCATGCTACTGGGCTTTGGAAAAGGCTCCATTGGCACTGGGGATCCCTGCAGGAGGCTTCAAAGGTGACCAGGACCTTGACAATGGGCAGGCCCAGGGAGATGCAGGGAGACGGCTCCAGCTCCCCTTGTGGGGTTGGATTCAGACCAAGGTGACAATGGGCGGGGGGGATCTGGCACACACTCCCCACTGTCCCCTTCCACAGGGACATCTCCAAACTCCAGGGGATAAAACAGTATAGGAGATGGAGGGAGTGAGCAGGTGGGTAGGAAGTGTGCCGCCCAGGCAGCTCATAGAGACAGGAGAGAGGGAAGGTGGGAGATTGGTGTTTGAATTAACAGGAACTCTAAGACTTTTCTAGAAGTAGATTTGAAAGAATAAAGGGCAGGAATTTGTTTTCTTTTAGAAAAGAGGACTCCTCCAGGAAGGGTCGTCCAGCTTCAGCAAAAGTCTCTCATTGACTAATAAGCCCCTCACTGCCTTGTAGTCTCCTATGCCTCAGGGTAAGGATTCAAGCTTCTCTCCCTTTTATACCCGGTGAGGAAGGCTACCAAGGGGCAGAGAACAGAAACAGCCACCAAGTTCCTGGGCCAAGTCCAGGGCTTCCTGGACTGTATTCAGAGAGCTGTGGCTTTTCTCTACCACTTGCAACAGCTCTTGGTGTCTTTATGTGAGCTGCTTATTAACCAGAGGATATCAGGACACTGGGAGGGCAGAGCTTGTGCTGGTTGCCAGTGAGAGTAATTCAGAAACACAGAGTGGGGCAGAGCTGATGTGTGCAGCCGATGTGACGGACAGAGGTGCCTGGCGGGGTGGAACAGGCTCTGGGCACCGTGCAGGAGCAGCATACTGGAGGGGCCTGTGGCCTATGGGGATGGCCAGGAAAGGCAGGGTCCCCTACCAACACTGCAGGCCACCCCCAGGACGAAGGCATGGCGAAGGGCACTGATGGCAACTGGAGGCCACCTGTTGGAATGGGACATGGCACTGGACCGACACTCCCTTCTCACAGTCACACATGGAGGGAGCCGTTTCCACCTTATGGAAACTCCTCTATCATCCTCCTTTTCCAAAGAGACTGCTTTTCCAGAAAAGGCCCTGAGTAAAAGATTCAAATCCCAGACATCCTCTTCCCTCTCTTCCATAAGCTGCTGATGATAGTCCCCGTCTACAGAGTCAGTGTTGATGGGCTTCACCTGCCAGCTGACCCCTCAGGGTCAAACCAAGGAAGCAGAACACCCATGGGCCCTGAGATGGTTCCTGACACCAGGCCACAGAGCAGCTTCCTGCTGTGTCTAAAGAAACACGGATTAGCCATGCTTTGGCCGGGCTGCAGTGCTATGTGTCTTAGGTTTCAAGCTGGTACCAGCTGCACTGAGGGGAAATGGTTGGGGAAGTTCTCCCGTTTGGCTTCTTTCCACATGGAGGACGGCAAAAGGAAGAGGGAGCTTAGAGCTGCCATGCTGGTACTGATGCCTTAAAAATGATGATATAAACACAGCCACAGGAGTCAGCCTGTGAGTCCCTGATGGGGACCAGAGGAGAAATGTCCTGACTTACCCTTCAGCCCACACTCTGCAAACAGAAGTGACCCAGCCCTCATCTATCACCTCAAAAGCTAAACAACTTCCTCAGACAGCCCCATGGAATATAAATCAGGAGGGCCCTAGCTTCTAAGAAACCAGTACACAACTACAGCCCTCAGAAATACTCATCCTCATCTTCTTTCTTCCTCTCCTTTCAGAATAGGGTGCTAGCAAGTCTTATCTGCAGATGAGGCCAGGCAAGGTGGCTCATGTTTGTAGTCCCAGCACTTTGGGAGGCTGAGGTGGGTGGATCACTTGAGGCCAGGAGTTTGAGACCAGCCTGGTCAACATGGTGAAACCCTGTCTCCACTAAAACTACAAAAATTAGCCAGGCATGGTGGTGCACGCCTGTAATCGCAGCTACTCAGGAGGCTGAGCAAGGAGAATCGCTTGAACCTGGGAGGTGGAGTTTGTAGCGAGCTGAGATTGTGCCACTGCCCTCCAGCCTGGGCAACAGAGTGAGATTCCATCTCAAATGAATAAACAAACAAACAAACAAAATAACTGCAGATGAAGTAGGAGGTCACCTTAAGCATGTTACTCAAATTCTCTGAGCATGGGTCCTCATCTGTATCTATCTCATGGGTTTGAGGTGGGAGGTAAATGAGATCATTCATTCAGTTCTTAGTATAGTACTACCTTGATAAATATCATCATTTCAGCAGCTGAAGGCCATTCTCAGGTATAAAGAAGGAAAAACAACACTTCTATACTAATCCCAAACAAGAAGGCTATATGGGCCAGGGCTTCAGTGATTCATGATGTCCAAGCCTTCTTGCTCCTGCTCTCTCTCACGCCAAGTCTGTGCCAGACCTGGTTGCACTTGGCAACCTCAGCGCCTCCAACTTGTTTGAATTCTCACAGAGAATCCCAATGGGTACTCCGACCTGCTGGCGCAGAGACAAATTCAAACACACTGGGGTGGCAGTGAAATGTAGTATAAGAAATAGTCACAAGGAATGTTCAAGCTCTCAGAATGCCTGCAGAGCTGGGGTTTACACAGAGGGCCCCACTTTTCCAGACAGGCAGGGTAGCGAGCTTACAAATTATTTCCTTTCATGCATACTTTCACGATAGCATCATAACACATGCAATAAACACGTTTGGCTCCCTACTGAACAGGTACAGACACGACAGCTTTTCTGTTTTAAAGCTCCTGAATGCCAAAGCCTTCTCCGCTGCTCTGATGCCCCAAACTTCCCTGCCTGGGAATTGGATCTGGGGTAATGAGTGACCCAGCAGGCAGAGATGACAGATTCCTGCCTAATGTAGCAATGCTGGGACAACCTGGAGTATCTGGTGTGGCGGGCAGGCACAGGCAGGATGGGAGAGGCAGCCGTGAGTACACCAACCTTTGTCCCTGTTTGCTCTGGGAGAGGGCAGGCCCTGCCAATGCTGCTCTCCTCTCCTGGTGCCTCTGCCTGGGGCTCTTGGCTAGTCAAACCTCCCCGGGGACCTGAGACGACCTGACCCTGGTGGGTGGCAAGCCGAGACCTCTTCAGGCAGTCAAAGGGTGCTCTGGCACCTCTGACATGACACAGCAGGTGTGGGGCTTGGAGGCCTGCGTGCTCCTGCCCCCTGAGGAAGCCTCTTTCCTTCTGGCTCCTTCCCAGCTGAAAGCTTATCATTAACTAGCCGCCCAGAAAATGATGACCTACTCCAGGGCACTCCTTGGTTCAATCCACTACAGGGTCCGAGGGAAACACAGAATGACAGTGCAGAGCCTGAGCTGGGCAGTGTTGCGTGCCTTCCTCTTGCCAGCCTTTGTCCTCTGGGGCAGGGGAACACTCCTTTTTTAGCCTTGCTTACTGCCATATAAGTGGGTGTCTTGAGGAACCTGTGTGTTCTTTCTTCTGGCAAGGCTGCCCAGTTCTCTGGTTCCCCAGGTTAGGTACAAACAGGGTGACAGAGATACACGTCTGGTGGGGAGGTGGGGACACTCTGGCTCTTGCGTGAGAAATCCTCCTGCTTGCTCTCTCTCTCTCTCTCTTTTTTTCCTGGATGACACTGCTGGGGCTTGAAGCAGGTTGATCCTGAAAAGCAACTTTTCTTGAGAAAAGTCTGAGGGTTTTCTCTTTTCCTAGGAAGCTAGGCCCTGGCCCCCTGGCCCCTTCACCTTATGGAGGGCACTCCCTCTGCCAGGGCCCTCCCAGCTGGCAGAAGCGCTTACAAAGGTCAGAGAAAAGCATCCTTCCCTTTCACAAATAAACAAACCCAATCCATGTGCTGGAGGACTTAGAGTATATTAATAGCCAGATATTTTGTTTTCCTATTCTGGTGCTTATCCCCTTCCACTAGGATGAAAGATAAGAGAACACAAAATGTTCTCCATCAGCTACCCTTCTCCCCTCCCCCAGGGAGAGGCAAGCCAGGGGAGTGCGCTCTTCTGTTTAAAGCCATTCCTGATGGAGGAACCCTGAGAAAATAGACTTAAAAGTTTATATTCAGTCTCTCTTGGCTACTGTTGCTGCTCAGCAAAGAAACTCTATATTGTTTAAACCCTCCAGGCGAACGGGTTGCAAGGCAACCTTCAAACAATAGAAAATACCCCAAACTAAAAATAAAGGCATTAAGAGATGGAAAGCATGGTGGTGCTTTGGTGAAGTGATTCCAGAATTGGGGCAAGGGAGAAGGTCGTTGATCAGGCTGCTTGTGTGTGACATCAGCCCGTTTGCCTGCTCTCATCCTTATCAATTGAGTTTCTTATAATCCAGACATATGGGGTCCCGCTTCTTTTTATTTCTGGACTCTCAGTCCTCTCACTGGTCATCAACTGCTTTGGGCGGGAGGGTGTCAAAGGCCTGTAAGGTTGGGTGCCTCCTGTCCTCAGGAAACTTCCTAATCAATGCACTTATCCCACTGGCTCCCAGCTGACAAGGAACAGCACTTCCATTCCTGAGAAATCCTTAGAAACCCAAGGACAGACAGGGCTGGGGCCCAACTTAATCATAAGGTTCTTACAGGAAGAAGGCAGGAGGGTCAGAGTTGGGGAGGACACGTGAGGACAGAAACAGGCTGGAGCGACGGGCTTTGAAGACGAGGAAGAGGCCACAAGCCAAGGAATATGGGCAGCCCCTAGAAGCTGGGAAAGAAAAGGAAATGGCTTCTCCTCTAGAGCCTCCAGAAGGAACACGGCCAAGCCAGCACCTTGATTTTAGCCTTGTGAGACCCACTTTGCACTTCTGGCCTCCAGAAATGGAAGATCATGCATTCATGTTGTTTTAAGCTACTGGATTTGTGGTGATTTGTTACAACAGGAGATTAATACAATCATGAAAAGGAGAACCCGAGGAACTTTCATAAGGACAAGGAGTTGACAGTGAGTTCCTGGGCACTGCAGGCAGGTGACTGGGAAGCCTGGTGCTGCCCTGGCCCTGCCCTCAGTGACTGCTGCTCTCTGGCTGTGTGCTCTTTGCCACAGATGGAGGCCAGCAGGGGGCACTGAGCCAGCAGGGCTGCCTTTAAACAATCAAACACACATCAATACAAAGGCTGGGGCTTTGCCCACGGAGAGGGCAGGCTGATGGGTGTATTATCCAATAAGCAGACCTGAGCAGCGGGGACGTTTTCACCCATGACCCTTGGCCCACCCCAATCAGTGTCACTCAAAGAGAGATCAGACTGGAAGGGGAAACTGGAAGAAAGAAAAATACATCACCTCCACCCCCTACTCCAGGTTGCTGTCCAGCAATTACTGAAGATTCCCTTGGACTTCTCTGGAAGGAGACATGTAAGAGACTTCAAGGCAGGTTGTGAGCAAGTTTGCCTTCTCTCTGTCTATTCTCTGATTAAATGTCTTCTAAGGACATTTTCTTCTCTGGTATAAGAGAGCCTAGGAAATCCTACCTCAAAAAAAAAAAAAAAAGGTGAAGACCAATAATTTACTCTGTTCTCATGACATTTCTAGGAGACAAGAACCATCAGTCCCATTATATAATTTGGGACCCTGAATTACAGAGAGGGCAAGCAACATGGACATGGCCACACAGCCAACCAGAGCGATTCACTCAAAGCAAAACGCAGCTCTCCCGGCGCCTGCACTGGTACTGCCCTCTGTGTGCTCACGCTTAGTCTCAGGCTCTGGCTAACCGGGTCAGTAGGGCGTGGCCTCTGGGTAGGTGGTCCTAGTGGAATGCAGAGATAGAAAACCATTAAACCTGTCATCACAGGGCAAGCTACTGACGCCTCAGTGGGAAGATTTTCCAGACCAGAGCTCTGAATTGCTCTGGGGTGTGTGTGTCAGTTTGGAAGGTAATCAGGGGAGGAGGGAAGGTCCTAAATAACAGCCAAGTCAAGGTATTTGCACTCTACTTTGCATAAATAAACCCACAAAGAGCTTTCATTTTTTTCTAGCATCAATACAAATCTTTTTCTAGCTTTTTTCTTATTCATCTGCCCTGTTTCTCCCTCCCTTTATCATTCTTCTGAGACCGCCTGGAATCTACCTTTAGGAGCAAAGCTAAAAGATTCTCCAAACTCACTGCCAGCGGATTGAAGTGGCTTATGCCGAACAGCTGCTGAACCTTCAGGACCAGCTCTATGAGGGCCCACGGCTCGGCATGAACGCCAGCAGCTCCACACACTGTGGGCGATCTCCACTGCCCTTTCACGCAGAGAGACTTCTGCAGAGCCACCCTCATTTCTTTCTTTCTTTTTTTTTTTGAGACAGAGATTCTCTCTGTTGCCCAGGCCAGAGTGCAGAGGCGTGATCGCGGCTCACTGCAACCTCTGCCTCCTGGGTTCCAGCGATTCTCCTGCCTCAGCCTCCCAAGTAGCTGGGACTACAGGCGTGTGCCACCATACCTGGTTGATTTTGTATTTTTAGTAGAGATGGGGTTTCTTTCTTTTTTTTTTTTTTGAAACGGAGTCTCACTCTGTTGCCCAGGCTGGAGTGCAGTGGTGTGATCTTGACTCACCACAACCTCTGCCTCCCGGTTTCAAGTGATTCTCCTGCCTCAGCCTCCCGAGTAGCTGGGATTACAGGTGTGCACCACCGCACCTGGCTAATTTTTGTATTTTTAGTAGAGACAGAGTTTCGCCATGTTGGCCAGGCTGGTTTCAAACTCTTGATCTCAGGTGATCCACCCGCCTCGGCCTCCCAAAGTGCTGGGATTATATGCGTGAGCCACTGCGCCTGGCCAGATGGGGTTTCACCATGTTGGCCAGGCTGGTCTTTAACTCCTGACCTCAAGTGATCCACCCTCCTCGGCCTCCTAAAGTGCTGGGATTAGAGGTGTGAGCCACCATGTCCAGCCAACCTTCATTTCTTGCCGCCCAAATTTTGTGACTCTCAAAGGCTATGAAAGGATGCCTCTGTTTTCCTTAAGATATAAAGAGAGGGAAATGGAGTGATTTGGTTTCAAATGATATTGTCAGGTCTTAAGTATTTTAAAAGCATAACAAGCCTGGTTAACATAGTGGGGCCCCATCTCTACAAAAAATTTAAAAAATGAGCTGGGCATGGTGGCGTGTCCCTGTAGTCCCGGCTACTCAGGAGGCTGTGGTGGAAGGATCACTTGAACCCAGGAGTTTGAGGCTGCAGAGAGCCATGATCACGCCACTGAACTCCAGCCTGGATTACAGAGCGAGACCCTGTTTCAAAAAAGAAAAGTGTGTAGCTGAGGCGACTGTGAGCTTTCAACCACTGGGGACCTTCTGCCCATCCTACATGATAACTGTTGCTCTTGCATCACCACAGCCAGCGCACCTCCTCTACTGTGGGCAATCTGAGAAAACTGCACAACACTCAACTGTCCTCTAATTAGACTAAAGAATGAGTATCAACAAATGGGGAAATGGTCTGCAAGATACTGACACAAGGAGAAACCCCCCGTACCCAAGAATTTGGCAGTACTTATGTAGCATTACACAGACAAGAACAGAGACACAGTCTCCTGGCCAGTTAGCTGGCCACACAGAACTGTACTTACACAGGTAGAAGTCAAGATACCCTTAGAGTCTGCAGCTGCTTTCCAGGCTCCCATAAGAGCTCCTGATTAGCATCTGGGTCTCCTGGATCCCTTGATAACAGAAAAACAGGTAGTTTGGGGGCCAGAGAAATATTCTAGGTCCTAGGATCCAGTTTCCAGATCTTCAAATTTTTTTTATTGTAAAAATATGCATAATAGGCCAGGCGTGGTGTCTCATGCCTGTAATCCCAGCACTTTGGGAGGCCAAGGCAGGCAGATCACATGAGGTCAGGAGTTTGAGACCAGCCTGACCAACATGGAGACACCCCGTCTCTACTAAAAATACAAAACTAGTCGGGAGTGGTGGTGCATGCCTGTAACCCCAGCTGCTCAGGAAGCTGAGGCAGGAGAATCACTTGAACCTAGGAGGTGGAGGTTGCGGTGAGCCAAGATCGCGCCATTGCACTCCAGCCTGGGCAACAAGAGTGAAACTCTGTCTCAAAAAAAAAAAGCATAATATAAAATTACCATTTAAAATGTAAGTTCAGTGGCATTAAGTACATTCACACTGTTGTGCTACTATAACCACCATCCTAGATAGTACAAAACTTTTTTTTTTTTTTTTGAGATGGAGCCTTACTGTGTTGCCCAAGTTGGAGTGCAGTGGCGTGATCTTGGCTCACTGCAACCTCCACCTCCCGGGTTCAAGTGATTCTCCTGCCTCAGCCTCCTGAGCAGTTGGGATTATAGACATCCGTCACCACTCCTGGCTAACTTTTTGTATTTTTAGTAGAGACGGGGTTTCACCATGTTGGCCAGGCTGGTCTTGAATTCCTGGCCTCAAGTAATCTACCCACCTTGGCCTCACAAAGTGCTGGGATTACAGGTGAGAGCCAGTGTGCCCGGCCCTAGATAGTATAAAACTTTTTTAGTGTGTGTGTGAGACATGGCCTCTTTCTGTCACCCAGGCTGGAGTGCAGTGGCACCATCATGGCTCACTGACCTCCCAGGCTCAAGCGATCCTCCCACTATAGCTTCCCAAGTAGCTGGGACTACAGGGGTGTGCCACCATGCCTATTTATTTTTTTTAAATTGTTGTTTTCTGTAGAGACAAGAACTCACCATATTGCCAGGGCTGGTCTCGAACTCCTGGGCTCAAGTGATCCGCCCGTCTCAGCCTCCCAAAGTGCTGGGATTACAGGAGTGAGCCACCACACCCAGCCAGTGCAAAACTTCTATTAACTAGACTCTGTGAAGACCACAGCAAGGTGATTTCGTTGAAAAGGCTCTGCCTGAACATCTTTCATGGTATCTCAAACTATGATATCCCTAAGAAAGGTACCAAAAAATCCTTTTGGCCTCAAAGAGAGTAGCAACAAACCCACTCGTGTGCTAACTCCCCATTCCATTTTCTTTTCAGGCTCCACCGTCCCCACCACTTAGCAGTGACTTCAGAGCCGATCCAAATCTGAAGAGGAGCTTCATCAGCTCCTCTTAGTATCCAAATCTGCCCCCACCCCTGCTCATCCCTTTCAGTTTATCTGGGTAATTGCATGTTTTCATACATAAATGAAAAGCAACAATTGCAAGGCTGAGGAGTAAAGGTGGTATGGGCAGGTTCCATAACAGAGAGGTTTCCAGAGAATGACAAAATTGGGGAAGACTCCCTGGTCTGGAAGAAATGTGAAGCTGTAAGAAAATAGCTTGAGAGAGGACTGTTGGGGGAAACGCAAGAGAGCACAGAGGGATGGAGGTGTGAGTGGAAAGGGGTGGTGAGACCTATACGTTATTGATTCCAAAATCTTTATTTATCTTTATCTCCAGCCCTGACCTCTCTCTGGAATGCCAGACTCATAAATGTAGCTCCTACCTGACAATTCCTCTTGGATGTCTAACGGGTACTTAACATGGACAAAGCAGAACTCTTCATTTGACCTGCCCTACCTAAGTCTGCTTCTCCCTTAATCTTTTCTAACTCAATTCATGAAAAAATCTGAAAGTCATTGCTGATAGCCCTTTCTGTGACTCCCCCCAACCCTGCAGAAAGTCTTATTGACTCTATTTCCACAAAAAACACCATGTAGCTGTCCACTTCTCTCTATTTCTACTTCAATTGTCCTAGTCTAAGCCATCATCATCTAACATCTCTCTACAATGACCTCCTCAACTGACCTGCCTACTTCCATTCTACGACCCCTACACCATCCATTTTCTACTCAAAGTTAGTGATCTTTTAAAATTCAGATCAGTTCATGTCACCTTCCTTGCTTAATAGCTTTCAAGGTCTTCTCAGTAGCACTTTGGGAGGCCCAGGCAGTTGGCTCACGTGAGGTCAGGAGTTCAAGACCAGCCTGGCCAACATGGTGAAACTCTGTCTCTACTAAAAATACAAAAATTAGCTGGCGTGGTGGTGCATGCCTGTAATCCCAGCTATGCGGGAGGCTGAGGCAGGAGAATCACTTGAACCTGGGAGGCGGAGGTTGCAATGAGCTGAGATCACACCACTGCACTCCAGCCTGGGTGACAGAGTGAGACTTCTTCTCAAAAAATAAATAAATAAATAAATAAATAAAAATAAAATCCAATTTCCTTATCCTAGCTACAAAGCTCTCCATAAGCTGGACTCTGCACATTTTTCCTACCTGACTTATTATTATTATTATTATTATTTTGAGACAGAGTTTCGCTCTTGTTCCCCAGGCTGGAGTGCAATGGCAGGATCTCAGCTCACTGCAACCTCTACCTCCCGAGTTCAAGCAATTCTCCTGCCCCAGCCTCCCAAGTAGCTGGGATTACAGGTGCCCTCCAGCATGCCGAGCGGCTTTCTACCTCACTTTATATCATTTTTCCCTGACTCTGCCATGGCCACACTGGCCATCCTGCTGGTTCTCAAACACAAAGAACTTCTTCCTACCTTGTGGATTCTGTATGAGTTAATAGCATGTTATGTCTGGAATGCTTCTCTCACATATCGGTCTATGGATGGCTCCTTCTTATCATACCTCAGCTTAAAGGACACATCTTCAGAGAAACTTGCCCTATGCATCTCATCTAAAGTGGACAAGATGTTAATTTACTACTATGTGATATTTTCTGGCTTATTTAATTTTTTGTGTCTTACCCCATAGAATATAAACTCCATAAGAGAAGGACTTTGTCTTTTCCATAAGGGATCCCCAGTGCCTAAAATAGTGTTTGGCATAGAACAGGTGTTCCATAAAGAAAGTTGGATGAATAAGTAAAAAATTATGATCATTCTATGCAATAAATGATCAAAAGGAACAAAGCAAAGATAAAAAGTAAGGTAGGAAACTAGACAAAGACATAAGAAAACTACAGACCAATGTATCTCATACACTGAAGTAAAACACCCTCATGAAAATATTAGCAAACTGAGGCCCGGCGTTGTGGCTCACACCTGTAGTCTCAGCACTTTGGGAGGCCAAGGTGGGTGAATCACTTGAGGCCAGGAGTTAGAGACCAGCCTGGGCAACATGGCAAAACCCCATCTTGTCCTAAAAATACAAAAATTAGCCGGGCGTGGTGGTGTGCGTCTGTAATCCCAGCTACTCGGGAAGCTGAGGAAGGAGATCACTTGAATCTGGGAGGTGGAGGGTGCAGTAAGCTGAGATTGTGCCACTGTACTCCAGCCTGGATGACAAAGTGAGACTCCATCTCAAACAAAACAAAATAAAACAAAAAACAAAAAAAAACCTAGCAAACTGAACCCAGCACATATAAAAGCGATAATACACCATAACCAAGTGGGATTTATCCTAGGAATGAAAGGTTGGTTTAACACTTGAAAGCCAATTAATATATACAACATAATAATAGAATAAAAGACAAGACCCATCTATGATCTTCTCAATAGATGCAGAAAAAACACCGAACAAAATGCAGCACCCTTTTATGATAAAGACACTCAACAAACTAGGAATAGAAGAGAACTTCCTCAATCTGATAAAAGGCATCCACTTAAAACCCACAGCTAAAATAATACTTAATGGTGAGAGACTGAATACTGTCTCCTGAAGATCAGGAACAAGACAAGGATGTCCACTGTCATCACTTCTATTCAACATTGTACTGGAAGTTCTAGCTAAGGCAATTAGGCAAGAAAAAGAAATGGCATCTAGACTGGAAAGGAAAAAGTAAAACTCTATTTGCAGACGGTGTAATCTTGTATATAGAAATAGTATTGTATATAGAAATAGTATTTTCCATATTAAAAAACTGTTAGAACAAATAAATGAATTCAGCAAGATTGCAAGATACAAGATCAATATACAAAATCCATTTTTTGTTCATTAGCAGTGCTAATCTGAAAATGAAATTAAGGGAATAATTATATTTATAGTAGCATCAAAGGGAATAAAATACTTAGAAATAAATTTAACAAAATAAATATAAGACTTGAAAACTGAAAACTATAAAAATTGTCAAAAATAAATGCAAGGGGCTGGGCGCGGTGGCTCATGCCTGTAATCACAGCACTTTGGGAAGCTGAGGCGAGTGGATCATGAGGTCAGGAGATCGAGACCATCCTTGCTAACACAGTGAAACCCAGTCTCTATTAAAAATACAAAAAATTAGCCGGGCGTGGTGGTGGGCACCTGTAATCCCAGCTACTTGGGAGGCTGAGGCAGGAGAATTGCATGAACCCGGGAGGCGGAGCTTGCAGTGAGCCAAGATCGCGCCACTGCACTCCAGCCTGGGCAACAGAGCGAGACTCTGTCTCAAAAAATAAATAAATAAATAAATAAAAGAAGACCTAAAGTTGGGCGTGCTGGTTCACACCTGTAATCCCAGCACTTTGGGAGGCTGAGGTGGGTGGATCACCTGAGGTCAGGAGTTTGAGACCAGCCTGACCGACGTGGAGAAAACCCGTCTCTACTTAAAATACAAAATTAGCTGGGCGTGGTGGTGAATGCCTGTAATCCCAGCTACTTGGGAGGTTGAGGCAGGAGAATTGCTTGAACCTGGGAGGTGGAGGTTGTGGTGAGCCGAGATTGCGCCATTGCACTCTAGCCTGGGCAACAAGAGTAAAACTCCATCTCAAAAAAAAAAAAAAAAAAAAAAGAAGATCTAAATAAATGGAAAGACATCCTGTTAATGGATTGGAAGACAGTACTGTTAAGATGACAACATTCCCCAAACTGACCTATAGATTCAATTCATCCCTAACATTTTGCAGAAACTGACCAGCTGCTCTTAAAATTCATGTGGAAATGCACAGGACCCAGAATAGAAAAAAAAAAAATCCTGAGAAAGAAGAACAAAGTTGGAAGACTGAAACTTTCCCAATTTCAAAACTTACTCCAAAGCGAAGGTAATCAAGACAGTGTGGTACTGCCATAAGGATAGAGATATATACATCAATGGAAAAGAATGGGAAGTTCAGAAATAAACTCTCACAATTTTTCCTTTTTTTTTTGAGACGAAGTCTCACTCTGTCACCCAGGCTGGAGTATAGTGGCCTGATGTCAGCTCACTGCACCCTCTGCCTCCTGGGTTCAAGTGATTCTCCTGCCTCAGCCTCCCAAGTAACTGGGATTACAGGTGCATGCCACTGTGCCTGGCTAATTTTTGTATTTTTAGTAGAGACAGGGTTTTGCCATGTTAGCCAGGCTGGTCTCGAACTCCTGACCTCGGGTGATCTGCCTGCCTCAGCCTCCCAAAGTGTTGGGATTACAGGCATGAGCCACTGCACCCGGCCAAAAATTTATATTTTTAAATAAAATTAGATATATATTTTTAAAAGTAGGCGAAGGAGGCTGGGCATGGTGGCTTACACCTGTAATCCCAGCACTTTGGGAGGCTGAGGTGGGTGAATCACCTGAGGCCAAAAGTTCAAAACCAGCCTGGCCAACATGGTGAACTCCATCTCTACTAAAAATATAAAATTAGCCACGTGTGGTGGTGCGCACCTGTAGTCCCAGCTGCTCGGGAGGCTGTAGCACGAGAATTGCTTGAACCCAGAAGGCAGAGGTTGCAGTGAGCTGAGACTGCACCAGTGCACTCCAGCCTGGGCGACAGAGCAAGACTCTGTCTCCAAAAAAAAAAAAAAAAAAAGCACGCAACGGACTTAAATAGACATGTTGCCAAAGAAGATATTTAAATGGCCAATAAACACATGAAAATCAGCCATTAGGGAAATGCAAATCAAAACCACAGTGAACTACTACTTCACATCTATTAGGTTGGCTGTAATAGAAAAAATGGGGGCTAGGTGTGATGGCTCATGCCTGTAATCCCAGTACTTTGGGAGGCTGATGCAGAAGGACTGCTTGATCCCGGGAGTTCAAGACCAGCCTGAGCAACATAGCAAAACTCTGTCTCTACAAAATATTAAAAAATTAGATGTGTGGTGGCATGTGCCTGTGGTCTCAGCTACATGGGATGCTAAGGCAGGAGGACTGCTTGAGCCCAGGAGGTCAAGGCTGCCATAAGCCCTGTTTGTGCCACTACACTCAAGACTTTGTCTCAAAAACAAACAGTCCAGGCATGGTGGCTCATGCCTGTAATCCCAGCACTTTGGGAGGCCAAGACAGGCGGATCACCTGAGGTCAGGAGTTCGAGACCAGCCTGGCCAACGTGGTAAAACCCTATCTCTAATAAAAATATGAAAATTAGCCAGGTGTGGTGGCATGCGCCTGTAGTCCCAGCTACTAAGGAGGCTGAGACAGGGGAATTGCTTGAACCTGGGAGGCAGAGGTTTCAGTGACCCAAGATCACGCTACTGCACTCCAGCCTGGGGAACAAGAGCAAAACTCCGTCTCAAAAAATAAAATAAAAACAAAAAACAAAACAAATAAACAAACAAAAAAATCCCAGCTACTCAGGAGGCTGAGGCAGGAGAATTGCTTAAACCCAGGAGGCTGGCTGGGCGTGGTGGCTCATGCCTTAATCCCAGCACTTGGGGAGGCCGAGGCAGGTGGATCATCTGAGGTCAGGTGTTCAAGATCAGCCTGACCAACATGGAGAAACCCTGTCTCTACTAAAAATACAAAATTAACCAGGCATGGTGGTGCATGCCTGTAATCCCAGCTACTCAGGAGGCTGAGGCAGGAGAACTGCTTGAACCTGGGAGGTGGAGGTTGCGGTGAGCCAAGATCATGCCACTGCACTCCAGCCTGGGCAACAAGAGTGAAACTCCGTCTCAAAAACAAACAAACAAACAAAAAAACCCAGAAAACAAACAAAAAACCCAGGAAGCGGAGGTTGCAGTGAGACAAGATGGCATCATTGCACTTCAGCCTGGGCGAGAGTGAGACTCCATTTCAAAAACAAACAAACAAATAAACAAATAAATAGACAGATAGATAGATGGACAATAACAAGGATTGGTGATGGATGTGGAGAAATTGGAAACTTCATACTTTGCTGTTGGGAATATAAAATGATATAATCGCTTTGAAAAAGTTTTTACAGTTCCTTAAAAAGTTACTATATGGAGTTACCATATGACCCATTAATTCCACTCTGTCATGTGGAATTAATCCAAGAACTGAAAACATGTCCACACAAAAACTTGTACATGAATGTTCACAGCAGCATTATACATAAGAGCCAAAAAGTGGAAACCACCCAAATGTCAACAGATGAATGAATAAACAAAATGCAGTATATCTCTGCAATGGAATATTATTCAATCATAAAAAGGAATAAAGTAGGAAGGAAATTCTGACACATCCTACACATGGATGACACGGATAGCAGTGTTCTTGAGGACATTATGCCAAGTGAAATAAGCCAGTCACAAAAAGACAAATACTGCATAATTCCACTTATAGGAAATATCTAGAGTAGTCAAATTCATAGAGATAGAAAGTAGAATGGCAGATGCCAGAGGCTGGAAGGAAAGAAAAATGGGGAGTTGTTATTTCATGGGTCTAGAGTTTCAGTTTTGCAAGATGAAAAGCATTCTGGAGATCCGTTGTACAACAATGTGCATAGTTTACTCTATGTCACACATAAAAATGGTTAAATGGTAAATTTTATGTTCTGTTTTTTTAACCACAATTTAAAATTAAAAAAATTTTTACAAGCACAGTGTTGAGTAAAAAATCTTAATAAAAATTCATTTTTATCATGCTATTAAAGTATAACTGACATGGAAAGAATTTTCAAATTTGATAAAGAAACTTGCTGGCTGTGTTTGCCTTTATTTTTTACTCTTCTTAGAGTAATGAAAACAGACCACTTGGTTTAACTTTGATTATTTTTACTTCCTGGTTCCTGCCTGATTATGCAATTCTTTTGGTTACAAATAGAGAGCGGAAAGTTTATGTGCCAGTCTATTATATTTATGTCATTACATGAAAGAAGACTGATAAATGTTTCTATTTATATCAAGTTTTAATAAAAACGTAAATCTTCTCTAAGGTCTATGAGCCGAAGCTATTTTATATTCTAAATTCATTCTTATTTTAACTGATTTTATAATACACTTTGCTTCCTCTTTCAACAAACTTAAAAAGGTTATAGAATCTATCTTGAGTAATACAGAAAATGTTGCATAGCTTTTGAAAATTTCATCACAACTTCAAAATGTAACTTACTGCTTGTCTTTGACAATTTGATAGAAGATATGCTAAAAAGGACAGATGTTCATTACAATCACATGCAAAAGGCCAGCTCCCAGAATAGCTACTATTCCATACGTGCATCATGTGATTTCCCAAGTTAGCATCTCCGCCTTTAAACAATAATCACACAGATGCATTTCTAAGTGTCTTAAAGTCACAATAGCATCCATTTGCTATGAACTTTATCCTAAGCCTTGTGGGTGCTCTATTATTAAATTTATGTACTTAGAACTACTGAGAAAGCAGCCATGACTAAGATGTCAAAGTCCCCAGGACATACTATATCAAGTTTTCTCATTATAATCAGGATCCCTTAAATTGTTCTCTAGTAAATTTTGTGACAATATCACTGGCTGCTTCTTTCTGTATAAGAGGACACAAGTGTGTTTCCATGTAGGGTATACTGGAGACGCTGGGGATGGTTATTTGTAATTATAAAGTTATATTACCTTTACTTTATTCTCTATTTGTTTAGTCAAAAAAATTGAATGCTTGGGCAGTTGCTATATACTAGGACCTGCTTGACTGGGGCCTGAATGGGAACCATATTGAGCTCTGTGAAAAGAATGAGGAGACAATCTCCTTGGAGAGGGTTCCCAGTCTCATCTACCATTTTCATACCTTACCTGATTTGATCCTTTCAATAATTCTTGGAAATTGTAGGGAAAGAAATCGAGGTTCAGAGCAATTAAGTGATTTGCTCCAGACATACTCTTTCCCTTTCATTCTTCATTTAACTAATATTTATTCATCAATCCTGCTTATCTGCCTAAGGAGGCGCAGGGAATACAACTGTCAACAGAAACCAATCCTGCATTCCATGCTCTTACAGTCCAAAAGGAGAAACAGACACGGAAGCATCCAGGGCATGTGTCTTTGAATGGCTGACCCTACATGCTAATCATTTACTGTCGCCCAGGGTTCACCACACCTTCTTTATGTTCTTGTCCTGGCTCACTGACCTCATCTCCTGTTTACATATTATGTATGTGTAATTATTATATACACACAACCATAAACATATATGTGTATGTAAACACACACACACATATATTTAAGGAAATGTGTACGCTCTTTTTTAAAGGTATAGATTTTAAAGGTAAAGATTCCTCTATCTTCCCTGCCATTAAGGGATCATAGAGCTGCATCTCCGCCACTAACAGACCTATTGGCTCCGAGGAAATCTCATTCAGTTGGAGACTTGGTAGTGACAGGACAGTGTCAAGGAAAGAATGTTAATGATTTTTCCACTAGCTGATCCCAAAAGCCTGGCAGAGGGGAGCTCAGTCCACTGAATATTTATATAGCACCTTGATTAAAAGAGCTCAAAGTAGTACTCCAAGTAGCTAAATTATAACTTCATTTGATAAATTCCATATTTTTTAAAAAGCTCCTTTACCAACCTTCATTTTTTGTTAAAAATAATCACAAGATGAATTTCACAGAAAGAAGCCTAAAGGAAAATTGTAAATGGTAATAATCTCTGGGTGATCTCAATTATCTCCTGTATCATTCAAAATTTCTACAATAATTATACGGATTTCTTTTTCAATTACAGAAAAATGTTACATAAATTAAAACTGGGCCATAAAAAACTCAACCACACTCATAATTTTTAAAATACAAATCAAAATGATTCTTTATATCTATCATATTGGCAAGACTATTATAAAGCTAGTATACCTAGTATAGGCAAGGGGACAGCAAATTAGGCATGCTCATATCCAGCTGATGGGTGTACAAATTGGCACCAGATTTTTGGAGGGCAATTTGGCAGTATCTATTAAAATTTTAAATGCACATACTTCTGAACCCAACAATTCTAATATTTTTCTTAGAGATATATTTGTATAAGGGTGCAAAGATATATGTAGAAGGACATTCAATAAGGAACTTATTAATTGTGCTATATCCATATAGGAGAATATTTGCAACTATTAAGACAACTCTATACCTATGATTAGAATTTATGGTTTAATTCAAAAATCCATTTGTAGAACAGTGAATATAACTTTTTTTTTTTTTGAGACACAGTCTCGCTCTGTTGCCCAGACTGGAGTGCAGTGGCGCAATCTCGGCTCACTGCAACCTCCGCCTCCTGGGTGCAAGAGATTCTCCTGCCTCAGCCTCCCGAGTAAAACAGCTGGAATTACAGGCACACACCACCACACCCAGGTAATTTTTGTATTTTTAGTAGAGATGGGGTTTCATCATGTTGGCCAGGCTGGTCTTGAACTCTTGACCTCAAGTGATCTGCCTGCCTCGGCCTCCCAAAGTGCTGGGATTACAGGCATGAGCCACCATGCCCCGGCCCTGGTATAAAATTTTAAAAGGATGTAAATGCATTTATGTGCTTGTGCATATAATTACAGCATCTGGAAGAGTATTTAAAAACCGAATTGTGGAAATACCTCTGAGGAGTGAGAAGACTGGGGCAGGTGAGGGCTTTTTATTTTTTAATCTAATATTCTTTGATATTATTTGAATTTTGTTACATTGAGCATGCATTTTAATTTTTAACAGTTTTATTGGGACATAATTCATACATCATACAATTCACCAATTTAAAGAAGACTTTTGTGTATTTACACATTCAGTGGTTTTTAGTATCTTCAGAGTTATGCAATCATACCTACGGCATATATTTTTTAAAATGAAAATATATTTTTGAAAGATGCTTCAAAAGTGAACCTACCACTGACAAGAAAATTTGTGTGAGAGAGAATCAGAAAACATTTGAACAGTATAACACTCATAAACAGGGAGGAAAAATATATATGAACAAAAAAAGATGGAGAAGGTCAGAGACAGAAAACAAAGAAAGATTTTTTTTCTTTTTTTAGAGTCAGGGTCTCGCTCTGTTGCCCAGGCTGGAGGGCAGTGGTGCAATCATAGCTCACTGCAGCCTTGAACAACTCCCCGGCTCAAGAGATCCTCCTGCTTCACCCTCCTGGGTAGCTGGGACTACAGGCATGCGCCACCATGCCTGGCTAAAGAAAGATTTTTAAATGAGTTTTAACTAAAAGCATATTAGATCTGCATCCTTAAATAAACACATCTGGATTTTGTAACTAAAATATCAAGGTAGATATTTGGGCACAATAAGAAAAAGAAACCTTTGATTTGATGGGACTGCAAATACAGTATTTGGATAAATCAGATTCCATATAAATGTGCAGACAGCTGGATATGAATTCCATCTATGGAAGGCACATAAAAAGAGTTTAAAGAACCATGTTATTCTGTAATTTCCAGAAATCTCTCCTGTTTTAGGAAGGCTGACAGAGGGGTTCTTACTCTCAAGCAATGAATACTCACTGAACATCAATAATGCTGATTTGGTTAAGTGTATCTGAAAATATAAGGAGAGATGGATAGAGAGAAAGACTCCTGAAACATACTGACAAACTTAATAACCACAAACCATGCAGGAATATTCTGACCTTTTGGCTCAAACTTTTGTCTATGTTTTTAGAAGAAGGATGAGAAAACTTACTCTTGAAAACACACAGTGTTCTATGAAAACATTCAGCAAAACTCAGATTTAATCTATTACTTGAAATAAAATTACCTTTTCTCTGAGACATTTTCCTCATTAAAATTGTCCTTGAGCACTACAGATCTTAGGAACATTCTGTAGATCATCTTATTTTGTTTTTTCAAGCCTTTAAAAAGCACAGTTCAAAAGTTGTGTAGCTGGAGGCATCTCTGACACCAGGAAAAGCAAACTTTACTTTTCCTGTGTATTCCGTAAAATCAATTAGCTTGAGTAGTACATGATCTTATTTACTTAATTAGGGCAGTGTGGTGACTTTAGCAGTTGCTCTAGTTCAACTTCACTACAATAATGGAAATGTACACAGGATAGCCACTCCCATGCAAAATCTGTTTTTATAAAGGAGTAAATGTTAGATTAAAACTAAAAGTCACTAGTTTTTGAGTTAGGAGACTGCAAAGTAATGCTGGTGCAATAATGTATAACCAAAATTTAAGATCAGTCTGTCATCTGATGAGATGGGTCATCTTTAATAGTATCTTAAGTGGTAATAGTTTATTTTTTATTTTTTATTTACTTTGTGGAAATAGTTTAAAAATCTCTCGACTATCTTTTCAAAATCACTCACCTTGTGGCTAACACATGATTAATACTTGATTCCAAATCAAGCAAGAAGGAATCCTTGAGAACAAGCTATCCTTTAATAAAGTGTTATAATATGGTGTATCTATTTCCACATGTGTGTGTTTGCATGTGCCTATGTGTAATGCAGGATTTTTTTTTTTTTTTTTTTTTTTTTTTTTTTTTGAGACAGAGTCTCGCTCTGTAGCCCAGGCTGGAGTGCAGTGGTGCGATCTCGTCTTACTGCAAGCTCCACCTCCCAGGTTCACACCATTCTCCTGCCTCAGCCTCCCAAGTAGCTGGGACTACAGGTGCCTGCCACCACGCCTGGCTAAATTTTTGTGTTTTTATTTTTAGTAGAGATGGGGTTTCACCGTGTTAGCCAGGATGGTCTCGATCTCCTGACCTCGTGATCCGCCCGCCTCGGCCTCCTAAAGTGCTGGGATTATAGGCGTGAGCCACCGCGCCCGGCCTGTAATGCAGCATTTTATTGGGAATTAATGTATTGCACATGCTGAAGACTGCAGCTAACAACATATTAATCTCTATAAATGCTCTAATTGCTTATAACATATTAGGAAACCATATGAAAATAGAAAATGTGGCTATCCCTGATAATATGCCATGTAGGACAATGATCAGACTAAAATTCTTATTTAATTGCTTAAAAGTAAAACCACCTTATCAGGAAGGTTACCTACGTCTTATCCTGTGACCATGACAACAAATTAAAAATGGAACTGCTGAAACCTCCAAAATATGCAAAATGGTAACTGAAAGGATGTCACTTTAATGATAGTTAAAACATCCATCTCCATGGGCTAAATGTAGACACAATTGGAAGCTAATCTTGGCATTCAGGCTTGAGGTTGGACCAGCAGGACTTCTATTGTCATCTGGACAGGTGGCAATAGCCTTAGAAGGGGATGTCAGGGCCTCCAAAGTCTTCTTTTAGATCTTACATCAAGCTGCAATGAACCCCGGCTTCAAATGAAAATATGAATGCCAGAAAGCAAAGGCGAAGAGTTAACTGCGGGTTGTTTTTTTATTTCTTAGATGCTAAAATATTTTAAAAAGCAAGGATAGCTCAATTTAGATTACAAAAAGGCACTCTGATGAAAAGCAAATGTGTTCCTAAATGTATGTCGAAGTAGATGGTTAGAAAGCTAATATAGAGTTTGTGGGCTAAATATATCATTTCTTTTAGAAGCAGAACATATTGCTGGGAGAAAAAGTCCTCTATCATAGGACTTATGGCATATAGTAACTAAAATGTTTTTCCATTTGTTGAATTTTCAATGTTGGGGAATATTATTATTCAGTAGACCTAGAGAGAAGTCCTAAATTGGAAAAGCAGCTGAGTCCAAGGTCATCTCTTTGTTTCCAAATATATCTTGAAACAAATGCAAGAAGGGCACTTTGCTGAGTGTTATCTGGACATATATAGTTTCAATCAAATTCTTCAAGAAGTGTCAGAATAAAAGTTGAACATTTGTTTGACACTGCCAAGTCACTAGCAAGTGGGTCTCTTCAAGGGCTGAGGCTCTCCTTGCCGACTTGGCAATTATTCTGTAAAAAGTTCTTTTTCCTCCTCTTTAGAAAAAAAAAAAATCAAGCACAGTGAAAAACCAGCTTTGAATTTTTCTCACATTTTTTAAAATATGGGAAATCACATAAACTTATAAAAGTGTCTCCCAATAAAAATATAACTTCTAAATATTCTGTTTCTCAGCTTAATTCCTTGGAATTATCAAATCTTTTTCACAAATCTGAAAATGTTAAATGTAACAAAGAAGTGATGGCATAGATGATATAGAGTTGTAAACTGAATCAAATAATAAAATGAGGCTGGGCGTGGTGGCTCATGCCTATAATCCCAGCACTTTGGGAGGCCGAGGTGGAAGGATCACTTGAGGCCAGGAGTTCAAGACCAACCTGGCCAACATAGTGAGACCCCATCTCTCTCTAAAATAAATAAATAAATAAATAAATAAATAAATAAAATAAAATAAAATAAAATGCCGAATCTTTCAATTAGTGTAAAAAATAACCCCCAAAACACAATGAAACAAATTAACTGGCTTACCACCTGTATTGCTCTTCTCTGTCACAAAAAATAAACCAAACTTAGTCCATGATGGCAGTCTTCCGTGGAAGATGATAATTTGTCATTCTCTACAATGCAGTGAATCTCATTTCATCAACAGTTCAAAAGGATATTAAGAAGAACTCCTGTTGTTATTACCAACAGACCATGGCTGATAATCCCACCAACTAGAAACCTTCAGCTTCAATCTCTCACTCCCTTTCCAGCTTCATCTTCTCTGTTCCCTCCGGCTGGGTCTGGCTCATACCTCAGGGCATTCCCTTTTGGGGCTTCCTTTTCTCCACGGAGCTCTTGCTCCCTCTTGGAGCCAATTTCTACTCAAGCTTCCATAAGAGGTTTAACTTGAATGTTTTCTCCTCTAGGCTGACCAGATTGCTCCAGCCTGTATTTTCTCCCACTTTGAGTTCTGTGGGGATTATTAACTCTACTATCTATGTGGTTTTTATCCCATTCCAGGAAGCTGAACTAAAATTTTTAGAGACTCTAACTTCCAAAAAATTATAGTTCCCCTCCCCACTACATGCAATGAGAAGAAACAAAGACTAAACCATAATACGAATATAAGGAAGTCTAACAGAGTTCTGCTCTTTCTCTCTTTCTTTCCCTCTTCCTTCCTTCCTTCCCTCCTTCCTTTTTTTCTCTCTCTCTTTCTCTTTTCCTTTTTTTTTTTTTTTTTGAGACAGAGTCTCACTCCATCACCCAAGCTGAAGTGTAGTGGTGCGATCTCGGCTCACTGCAACCTCTGCCTTCTGGGTTCAAGCGATTCTCGTGTCTCAGCCTCCCGAGTAGCTAGAATTACAGGCGCGCGTCACTACTCTGGGTAATTTTTATATTTTTAGTAGAGACAGGGGTTTTGCCATGTTGGCCAGTTTGGTCTCAAACCCCTGACCTCAAGTGATCTGCCCGGCCTTGGTCTCCCAAAGTGCTGAGATTGCAGGTGTAAGCCACCGTGCCCAGCTTTTTCTAATGGAAACTTCTTTGATTTTTGAAATATCATATACTTTCAGAAAATCTGTAGTGCATGTTTGCCTACTGGCTAATCCAGCACTGATTTGTTGGTTACATCGCTTATCTTGATAACTGGACTTTAAGCTGCTTAAAAGTGACAGCCATGCTTTTCTTGCTCAATATACTTGCTATAGAGCTGGATAAGGGAGTGGTGGGTGATGAATACTTGCTGGTTTCACTCCTGCTGTTCTGCCATGTTCTCCCATTCATCTGTCCACATCTTACCCATCCTTCCAGGCCCAGATCAGTTCCTACCTCTTTGATAAAGCCTCCTTGACTCTACTCTTCTTTGACCTTCTGCTCTTCCCTATAGCTCCAATTTGATTGAATTTCTATTGCTCCACAAAATTTAGTACTTGGTTATTACTTCTTGATGTGTTTACTGTTGTTTAATATATAGTCGTGTTAACAACAGGGGCCACACTTATATTTTTACTGCACCTTTTCATTCAGTCTGAGTGTCCAGCACATTACAGAACTCAAGAGCTTGATACATAATATGAATTCTTTCCCCATCTCCCATGCACCTGTGTAACTTACCGAGCCCTACTAGACTTCTTGTCCTTTCCTTCACATGCTGTATCCTTAAATGCCTTTATGTCTTCACTTTTCCCATGCCTATCAACATCTTAACTCATCCTTACAAATCAGCTCAAGTTCCATCTCCTCTGTTAATCTTTCCACAATCCCCCATCAGTACTAATTGCTGCTTCCTCTGAGCTCCCTGTTCTTTGTACACACAGCACTTATTTTGCTGCATAATATTTGAGTCTTCTAAACTGTGAGGTCTTTGAGAGCAAAAACTAGGTCATGTTCAATTTCTATTTTAGCACTTAGCACAGTGTCAGGCACACAAGATAACAAATATTCGCATCAAAATAAATGAGTGGACTTTTAATTTCATTCTCCTATTAATCAAGTATTATCTTGTTAATTTCTTTGGTTAAGAAAGAAATTGCCTGTTGGTATTTTCACAGAAAAAGACAAGAAATATCTATAAAACTGTTCAACAGATTCTGGATTTAACCGAATTTGATAAATTTTGTGGTTTTGCTTAATTACCTTATTGTATTTTAATCTTTTTTAATTTTTTTAATTTTTATTTTTTGAGACAGAATCTCGCTCTGTCACCCAGACTGGAGTGCAGTGGCACAATCTTGGTTCACTGCAACCTCTGCCTCCAGGGTTCAAGCGGTTCTCCTGCCTCAGCCTCCCAAGTAGCTGGGACTACAGGCGTGCACCACCACACTCGGCTAATTTTTTGTATTTTTAGTAGAGACAGGGTTTCACCATGTTGGCCAGGCTGGCCTCAAATTCCTGGGCTCAAGTGATTCTCTTGCCGTAGCCTCCCGAAGTGCTAGGATAAGGCATGAGCACCACACCCAGCTGTATTTCTTTCTTTCTTTTTTTTTTTTTCTCCAGACGGAGTCTAGCTCTGTCGCCCAAGCTGGAGTGCAGTGGTGTGACCTCGACTCACTGCAACCCAGGCGGAGGCCTCCTGGGTTCAAGATTCTCCTGCCTTAGCCTCCCAAGTAGCTGGGATTATAGGCACCTGCCACCACGCCCAGCTAATTTTTGTGTTTTTAGTAGAGATGGGGTTTCACTGGGTTGGTCAGGCTGGTCTGGAACTTCTGACCTCATGATCCGCCCACCTCAGCCTCCCAAAGTGCTGAGATTACAAGCGTGAGCCACCGTGCCTGGCCACCCAGCTGTATTTCAATCTTTAAGTTTCATTCCAGCATTGTTCATAAAGTGAAAAACTGGAGTTGATCTAAATGTCCAGCAATTGGAGACATGCATGATTTTAACACACAGATAGATTTAAATGATAACCCTATAAAGTTTCAGTTTGCTCTGTATTTAAAACTACTACTCATTTCTTTCATTCATTTACTGAACATTTATTTTCAGTATAATTCCCTCATCTGGTTGGTTGAGGTTACTTTTAACCATTTAGTAAAGTTTATTCTTTAGGTATAGTAAGCAAACACATTTTTTAAAAAAAGGTACTATAATTTTATAATAAGCACTAAAAATTATTTCATACCATAACTCATAAACAGACATCAATCTGTTTGCTTATATACAATAGGTATATACATGGGTCACACTGCAATATAAGTACTTAAGAGCACAGGTTTTGGATCCTGGCTCTGCCACAATCATTAGTTGTATAATATTGTGAAAGTCTCTCTGTGCTTCAGTTCCCTTATCTATAAAATGCGGATAATTGCAGCTGCCTCATAAGGTTATTGTGAGAGTTATGTTAGTTCTACACATATAAAGCATTTAGGACAGTGCCTGGTACAAATGGAGTGCTCAGTACCAGGTTATTTGCTTGAATCACTCATGATCATGGTCGTGATTAGAGCTTCAGGGAATAAAATTTGTTAAATCTTGCTTTGCATAACTGAAGTTCATAAAAAGTCCTTTGTAAGTCTGCTTCAGTTTCAGAACCAATAACTTAATTAGGTTGTGCTCTAACAATGAAACAGGCTCCCTCATGAGGAGTGAGCCGCATTGCGGGTACACTACTATGGCTGGAAAGTGATTCGCTACATGCGCTACAGAACTGATTTCCACACTGGAGAGAGGTTGGAAGAGATCCCTCAAAGCTCCTGATCTAATAAATGATTATATGAATCATTCTGAGGTTCCTTTCAAGCTCCAAAATTCTATGACTGTTTACCAGGATATCGCATGCAGCATTAAGCAGCCAAGCCAGGAACCTGCTGTTACACTCTGAACTGAGGTGTAAACACATACTTTCACCGAAAAACAAAAATCTTTAATTTCTTCCTGTGCTCGGAATAGTGAATTTCCATAGCAGTAAACCAAGTTTGGTGACTCAAGCCTCTCAGCAATTCTGGAAAGGAAATTGTGAAAATATCGATGTTTGCCAAGAAAGTACTTCCAGTTTGCCAAAAGAGGGAGCATAGGAGCAGAAAGCATATGTTTGTCCAAGTCTCTTAAAAATACTTATTTGGGATCTGTGTTTTATTTTTTGATTTCTTTTGCAAGGATGGGGTGGGGCTAAACAATATTTACAGTCAACTTCTCTTTTTAAGATTATCTTAAGACAGTAGGGTCAAAGATAAAAAATACATAGATAACTTTTAATGATCCCTCTCCATCCCCCGAGACAAAACACTCATCCCAGGCCTGGCTGCCATACGCCAAGCAGCTCTAATTTAAACTGCTCTCATTAAAAGGAAGAGGAAGAGGAGCTAAGCCAGTATGAGTGGAGGAATAATTTACATATTTAATAAAGATACAGCTTTATTTCTCTCCTGGCTGCCATGAATTGTCTAAAAAAGAAAGATCTGTTGCATATGTAATCTACTCCTCACCTGTAGGTGAGTAACAATCAGTAACAATGACGTTACTGATAAAACCAAGTTTAAAGAAAGTTAATCATCAGGATGCTATCTTACCCGTTCCCTGGGGCTAAAGACTCCTTCATGCCAGACAAGATGAATGATGTAAGCACCTAGAATCCTTTGTAGAAACAAGTCATTTACTCACACTCATTAGTCACTAATATAGGGTAGAATGCCTGCATAAGACAAGGCTTCTATAAGACACACACCTGCATACAAAGTCATTTTTCTTTTTCTTTTTTCTTTTTTTTTTTTGAGATGGAGTTTCGCTCTTGTTGCCCAGGCTGGAGTGCAATGGAGCAATCTGGCTCGCTGCAACCTCCACCTCCCAGGTTCAAGTGATTCTCCTGCCTCAGCCTCCCGAGTAGCTGGGATTACAGGCATACACCACCACGCCTGGCTAATTTTGTATTTTTAGCAGAGATGGGATTTCTCCTTGTTGGTCAGGCTGGTCACGAACTCTTGACCTCAGGCGATCTGCCTGCCTTGGCCTCCCAAAGTGCTGAGATTACAAGCGTGAGCCACTGTGCCCAGCTACAAAGTCATTTTTCAATGCAAACTTTGACTTTGCCTTTGTAGAGACAGCTTTGACAAGTTATCAGTTTGCCATTTTTCATATTCAACTCAGAAGAATTCTGCAAATTTGTATATTTTTAGTTTCAGCAATATATTTAGTCTTTTATTTTACTCAAATTATAAAAAGTGCTCTGTATTGTGTTACCTTAAAAAGTTAAGAAACATACTTGGGGCCGGGCGCGGTGGCTTATGCCTGTAATCTCAGCACTTTGGGAGGCCGAGGCGGGTGAATCACCTGAGGTCTGGAGTTCAAGACCAGCTGACCAATATGGTGAAACCCCATCTCTACTAAAAATACAAAAAGTTAGCTGGCCGTGGTAGCACATGCCGGTAATCCCAGCTACTTGGGAGGCTGAGGTAGGAGAATTGCTTGAACGCGGGAGGCGGAGGTTGCAGGGAGCCAAGATCCTGCCATTGCACTCCAGCCTGGGCAAAAAGAGCAAAACTCTGTCTCAAAAAAAAAAAGAAATGGACTTGGAAAGTGCATAGATCTTACAAATTTATAAATGTTAATTAGGCAGAATAACACATTTACGTTTATTTGATAGTTTAAATGAAATTCCTTCCTTTATTATCGTCTCCTGAATTAGAGCAAAATAAGGGCAAGTATTAATCTAAAGAAAAAGGTAGGTGTTCTGCAATTTCTGGTTTTATTTCCATAGGGATTTGAACAGTATTCTAAGACCCTTCTGGTACATTCTCCAGACCTAGAAAATACATGGCTTTGGAATTCAGTTAACAGATTTATAACAGAAAGCACATTATCCTATTATAAGATTCTTCTTAAAGGGCACCATTTAAATTTGGATTGTTTCCTGAATTAATACAGAAAGCAAGATAAGCAGTGGCCTTTTGAAATTTACAATCATACAGTCAGTCCCATGCAACGGTTGGCAACTAGAAGAAGGAAATCTGTGAACACAGAGGCAGATTTCACAGGCTGCATTCTTCTCCTTTATTTGGGCCATCACATGAAAGACAAATTAGTTTCTGAAATGATTAAGTACTCTGATCAATTAGCTAGCCAGAGTATCAATCCTGAAGGAAAAATGTAATAAGCTCTTTAGTAAGTGCCAGCTGTCAAAGACTGTCAAGGTTAGTTAAAGTTTTTTAATGTTCCAATCAAATCATGAAATGAGTGGAAAGTCACTGCACTAAACCCATTAAGCTGCATTACTAAATGTCCAATGTTACACACAATCTATAAATAACTTTGTACTTTTAGAGTTTTATTTCTTCAGTTTGCTTTTCTTGAAGTAATAATGATGTTCTGCTTCAGTGAATAAAGTAATTTTGGAGCTGCCTTTGTGTTTAATCCACATATTCCTTCTGTATGGAGTAAAGATGGCAAGTAATAATCAAATCAGTAGAATTCTAAGGATTCTGTGGAGTATCTGTCATCAACCATTTTAAAAATCAAGAGGAGTACCAAAGACAGTGAAGGGCTAAAAAATAATTAATCACTAGGCTTAATAATTTTGTGAACTGACTTTCCTCTGGAGGAATAAAATGCTGTTTCTATAAAGGGCATCTAGTCTTTTTCAAATACTTGCAAAGGAATTCATATTCTGTTTAAAGGAGCATCACTTAACTATTGGCTTAAAAACAACATGCCAGTAACCAACACCACACAAATATATCTATGTCACTATCCAAAAAATGATGATTGAATTAAGGATTTGTTTCTACACACTAAGACACAGCTTTTCCTCTTTTGGGGGATTGCTGATCTGCTAGTTGATCTAAAGGCACAAATGACAATGCTGGCAGCTGATACTTGCCCAAATAAGAGGATAAAACAAGCAGAGGACCAATTCAAATCACTTATGAACACTGAAATACTTCTGTTTTCCTTATAAAAATTTAAAAGATATTTCTCTCCATACTTTCCCGGTAAGTCCAGTTCTTCCTTATTCTGATGGACCCCATCTCTTCTTGCTACAGCTCCTAGAATTACCAATTATCTCTAGCTAGTGAGGCTCTTTGATTACCAATAAAAAACCTTTCAAACAAAAATTAAGAGTAGGACACACATGGGAACAAAGAGATCCATATTTTTTACAGGGTAGAAACAATTTTCTTCTTTAAAAAATATTTTTGGTGGTGGTACATGCCTGTAATCCCAGCTACTTGGGAGGCTGAGGCAGGAGAATGGCTTGAACCTGGGAGATGGAGGTTGCAGTGAGCTGAGATTGCGCCATTGCACTCCAGCTTGGGCAACAAGAGCGAAACTCCATCTCAAACAAAAAAAAAAAAGTTTTGGGCCAAGTATGGTAGCTTATGCCTAATCCTAGCACTTTGGGAGGCCAAGGTGGGAGGATCACTTGAAGCCACAAGTTCAAGACTAGCCTGGGCAACAAAAGGAGACCCCATCTAATATGGTTTGGATGTTTGTTCCCTCCAAATCTCATGTTGAAATGTAATCTCCAGTGTTGGAGGTGAGGCCTGGTGGGAGGTGTCTAGATCATGGAGGTGGATCCTCGTGAATAACTTAATGTCATCCCCGCGGTGATTAGTGATTTCTAGCTCTGAGTTCACACAAGATCTGGTTCTTTAACAGTGAGTGACAACTGCCCCTGACCTCTCGCTCCTGCTCTTTCCATATGATGTGCTGGTTCCCCTTTCACCATGAAGCTTTCACCTGAGGCCCTGGCCAAGAGGAGATGCCATCACCATGCTTCCTGTACAGCCTGCATAACCATGAGCCAATTAAACCTCTTTTCTTTATAAATTAGCCAGCCTCAGGTATTTGTTTATACTGACACAAAAACAGCTTACATGGCATCTCTACCAAAAAAAAAAAAAAAAATTAGCCAGGCATGGTGGCATGTGCCTATAGTCCCAGCTAACTTGACCCCAGAAGTTTGAGGCTGCATTGAGCTATGATTATATCACTGCCTCCCAGCCTGGGCAACAGAGAAAGATCCCATCTCTAAAAAAAAAAACAACAAAAAATTTTTTTAAAGACAGCTGAAAAGAACTAGCCTAAGATGGACATGCTAATAATTCGAAATTTGAGTTTTCAAATCTAAAGGCAAGATATTTTGAAAAAGTACTGAAATTGAAATGAAGTAAAGCATGGCACATGAATTTGGTATCTTTCTAAGGGAAACCAAAGAAATCTTCAAGTACCTTGTCCAAATGAAGCAGAGATTGGAAGCACTTTGAACTCTTGAATTTCACTTTGAGTCTTGTGCTACATTTAATATGTGATATCTATATTCTATGAAAATTTTTTTATATTTAAAATATCAGGCTGGGCGTGGTGGCTCATGCCTGTAACTGTAATCCCAGCACTTTAGGAGGCTGAGGCGGGTGGATCACTTGAGCTTAGGAGTTCGAGACCAGCCTGGCCAACATGGTGAAACCCCATCTCTACTAAAAATATAAAAACTAGCCAGGTGTGGTGGTGCATGCCTGTAATTCCAGCTATTCGCAAAGCTGAGGCAGGAGAATTGCTTGAATCTGGGAGGCAGAGGTTGCAGTGAGCTGAGATTGCACCACTATACTCCAGCCTGGGCAACAGAGCAAGAGACTGTCTCAAAGAAAAAATAAAATGAAATAAAATAACGGTTCCCACAACTATCAGATTATTGTTACATTATTATTATTATTTTTTGAGACAGAGTCTTGCTCTATTGCCCAGGCTGGAGTACAGTGGCGTGATCTTCGCTCACTGCAAACTCCACATCCCAGGTTCAAGTGATTCTCTAGCCTCAGCCTTCCAAGTAGCTGGGACCACAGGTGTGCCACCACACCCGGCTAATTTTTGTATTTTTTGTAGAGACAGGGTTTTGTCATGTTGCCCAGGCTGGTCTCGAACCCCTGACCTCAAATGATCTGCTTGCCTCAGCCTCCCAAAGTAGTGGAATTACAGGCATGAGCCACTGTGCCCAGGTTGGTTATTATATTATTAAATCTGTAATAGGCCAGGCATGAGTGGCTCATGCTTGTAATCCCAACACTTTGGGAGGCTGAGGCAGGCAGATCACCTGATGTTGGTTGGGAGTTCAAGACCAGTCTGGTCAACATGGTGAAACCCTGTTGCTACTAAAAATACAAAAATTGGCCAGGTGTGATGGCGGGCGCCTGTCATCTCAGCTACTTGGGAGGTGGAGGCAGGAGGATTGCTTGAATCCCGGAAGCAGAGGTTGCAGTGAGCTGAGATCACACCACTGCACTCCAGCCTGGGCAACAGAGTGAGACTCCACCTCAAAAAAAAGAAAAAAAAGTCTGTAATAGATTTTTGGTGAAAATAAGTAATAATGTGGCCAGGCGTGTAGGCTCATGCCTGTAATCCCAGCACTTTGGGAGGCCGAGGCAGGCAGATCACGAGGTCAGGAGATCGAGACCATCCTGGCTAACACGGTGAAACCCTGTCTCTACTAAAAATACAAAAAGTTAGCCGGGCATGGTGGCAGGTGCCTGTAGTCCCAGCTACTCAGGAAGCTGAGGCAGGAGTATGGCATGAACCTGGGAGGTGGAGCTTGTAGTGAGCCGAGATCATGACACTGCACTCCAGCCTAGGCAAAAGAGCGAGACTCCGTCTCAAAAAAGAAAAGAAAAGAAGTAATAATCCTTCAATTTAATATTAGATGTTAATACTTTAAAAAGAATAAATTTTGACACAAGACAACTATACATTTTTTAAATAGATATGAAATACGTACCAAGTTTATTTGCCTTTAAATGATACAAACAGAAAAGACATGTTAGTCAAAATATTAAATTTTCTTGCATTTTACAGAAGAAAAATAAACTGAAGTAAAACTGTAGGAACTGCTGAACGTCAGATAAATGTTTCTTCAGAACAAGAGATATTAGTTCCTAAAAGATTCTTCTAAAGTTTTTTTAAAAGAGATTAAGAAAAACAGTAAGCCACTGGGTTATTACATTCTAAAAAAAAACTACATGTTTCTTAATGGACATATGTTTACATTTACAGATAGTAAACTTAGTTTCCTGTCTCATAAAACTCAGAAGACGCCAGTGATGTCTAAACTATGGAAAAGAATAAAAGCCTCTTTTTCATATGAAAAAACATTCAAACTAAATCTACCTTAACATTATTTTCTATGAAAACTTAATAAAGAATGGCTCTTCTGAAAACAAAATGCTATACAAATCAGTTTCAAAAAAGAAATACATTATGAGATTAGGCTTATAGCTAGTGGTATCAAGTAAAACCCCAAACGATGACACAAGAATTCACAGTATTAGCCGGTCCTCCCCACCCTCCTGAATTACCTGACCAATGGAAGTTTGGCTTTGTTGTTTCAGAAAGCACTGTTTCTTACATTCCATTAATTGTTCCAAATCACGCCACATTTTTGCTTGTTTCATATTTGGACCATGACTTTCTCGTATAACTTTTTGTTTTTCCCGAAGTTTCTATCATTAAAAAAAAACAAGAATAATTAAATCTCAGTTACAGGGGTTTATTTCTATTGCTATAGTCGGAGGAATATGGTATGTTTTCTACAGTAGATAAAAAATAGTTAGCTAAACCACATACTCTATAATGTACCAAAACTAAGATTATAAAAGTTAACTAAGGCCAGACGAGGTGGCTCATGTCTGTAAACCTAGCACTTTGGGAGGCTGAGGTGGGCAGATCATGAGGTCAGGAGATCAAGAGCTCTACTAAATCCAACACTAAGTCAAACTGTTTGCCTTTCTAGTTCTCCAAAAAAATACAAAAAAAAATTAGCCAGGCATGGGGGCACGCGCCTGTAGTCCCAGCTACTCGGGAGGCTGAGGCAGGAGAATCGCTTGAACCTGGGAGGCGGAGTTTGCAGTGAGCCGAGATCACGCCACTACACTCCAGCTTGGCAACAGAGCAAGACTCTGTCTCAAAGAAAATACAAAAAACAAAAACAAACAAACAAAAAAAACTACACAAAACTATAAAAGGAAGTGAGAGAAAAAGATAGTTAGGAAAGTGGAACAGTATCATGGTGTGAAAAGAAGAATGTAGAGTTTGGAAGTCAGAAGACTTCGGTTTTAATCTGGTTTTGTCTCCTCTAGTGGTAAGCAAGGCACTTAATTTCTTGGGACTTCAGTTTTCTCAATTATCAATTAAGGTTAATAGACCAGGCATGGTGGCTCACGACTGTAATCCCAGCACTTTGGGAGGCTGAGGCGGATAGATCACTTGAGGTTAGGAGTTCGAGACCAGCCTGATCAACAAGGTGAAACCCTATCTCTACTAAAAATACAAAAATTAGCAGGGCATGGTGGCGTGTGCCTGTAGTCCCTGCTACTCAGGAGGCTGAGACAGGAGAATGGCTTCAATCTGGGAGGTGGAGGTTGCAATGAGCTGCAGTCGTGCCACTATGAGACTCTAAGTCAAACTGCTTGCCTTTCTAGTTCTCCAACAAAAACCAGCTAGGAGGATATACATGACATATTACTCAAGAATGTACAGTTATAGCTCATATAGCTTTAAAATAATTCATTTATTAGCCTAAGCCTGAGAAATGTCCACATTTTGTTTTAGAATTTCCATTTACATAAAAATTTCTCAAGAAACCAACAGGATCAGTATATTCTATATACTAAAACCTAATACTTATTTATTCAAGATATAATTATGAAGCACCTGTTATATGTCAGGTATGCTTGGAGTTTCAAGTGGAAAACAGGACTCATGCTATATAGGTGGGCAGATCACCTGAAGTCAGGAGTTCGAGACCAGCCTGGCCAACATGGTGAAATCCCATCTGTACTAAAAATACAAAAATATGAAATACAAAAATTAGCCGGACATGGTGGCATGTGCCTGTAATTCCAGCTACTCAGAAGGCTGAGGCAGGAGAATTGCTTGAACCTGGAAGGCAGAGTGAGCCAAGATTGTGCCACTGCACTCCAGCCTGGGCAACAGAGTGAGATTCCGTCTCTGGAAAAAAAAAAAAATTAAGGTGAATAATAGGAGGCTGGGGGCTGGGCACGGTGACTCACACCTGTAATTCCAGCACTTTGGGAGGCCAAGGCAGGAGGATTGCTTGAGCTGGGGAGTTCAAGGCCTGCCTGGGTAACATGATACTCTGTCTCTACAAAAATAAAAATTAAAAAATTATCTGGGCATGGTGGTGGCACATGCCTGTAGTCCTAGCTAGTTGGGAGGCTGAGGTGGAAGGGTCACTTGAGCCAGGAATTTGAGGCTGCAGTGAGCTATGCTCTCACCACTGCACTCCAGCCTGGGCAACAGAGCGAGATCCTGTCTCTTAAAAACAAAACAAAACAAAACAAAACAAAACAACCAAACCAAGGCTAATAATAGGGGAAAATAAAAGTATTTACTTGGTAAGATTATGTTTTCAAGTGACATAATAGATATTGAAATACTTGATAAATTATCATGTATTATATATATCCTTGTTATTAAATGTTATATTCTATCTTATCCTGAAACAGTGTATACTCTATTTATGTCCAAATAAATCAAATTGTATGCACATATACTTCAGAGAGCAGGCCCAGTGATTACGAAAATAGTACACTATTAAATAAGCCAAAATCCTTCTTAGAATTGTTTTTGTTACTAACATCTTAGATGGTCCACCTGCCAAAACTGTTTTACTCATTGACTCTAAAATTTTAAACAGGAATAAAAGAATCTTCAATAAATTACAAAAATATACTTTAGTTCTATATTATGGCAAATTGAGGAAGGGTGACTGAAAGCAAGAGTAGACACAAAGTCAGAGACAATAAGTGACACGGTAGGAAAAAAGAGAGAGAGAATCCAGCCTGGGCAACAAAGTGAGACGCCCCTGTCTCTACAAAAAAAAAATTTTTTTTTAATTAGTTGTGTATGGTGGCACATGCCTGTGGTCCCAGCTACTCAGGAGGCCGAGGCAAGAAGATCACTTGAGCCTGGGAACTCAAGGCTGCAGTGAGCTGTGACCATGCCATTACACTCCAGCCCAGGTGACGAGTGAGACTGTCTCAAAAAAAAAAAAAAAAAAAAAAAAAAAAAGAAGAAGAAGAAGAAGAGAAGAAAAAGAAAAGAAAGGAATTCATTCATAATCCCATGTGCTAGAGACAACTACAGTTGACATTTTGGTAGAGAAGGTGAAAGTGCACATAGAACGAAATGCAGTGTGTTGGAAATATCTGTACCGACACCGAGTGTGAGAAAATCACCAAGAGGGACAGAAAAGCAAGCAGAGACACAGAGGCAGAGTGCAAAGGAACAACCTCATCCTTTCCTCTTTTAACATACGGTCAATATACTAGTTGATCTGAGACACAAATGAGAATGCTGGTAGTTGGTACTTGCCTAAATAAGAGGATTAACTAAGCTGAGGACCAGAGTCAAACCACCCATTAAATACTGCCCACCCAGCTATGCATAATGAAAGCAAAGTTAACAGCAAACAGGAATAGAAAACAACACAGAATTTTAAAAATATAAATATAACCAGTAAATTTTTTGATGCAATACCTGGCATATTAATACATCTATTTAAGTTTATGTTACAAATAATGTATCTTACAACAAATATTTTATCCTTATAAACTAAAAAGTATTTAGAAAGGCCATTAAGGCAGACCAAGAATTTTAAGACTTCTGCACACGATTTTAAATTAAGGCACTACTTAACCTGTAACTTTTCTTATATCATTGGAATAATTTCCTTGTCAAAAAATCCTAACAACCTATAAAAGTTATTTAAAGAACCAAAGACAGGATGTGGGCACTGTCTGTGTCAGAAATATTAAATTTAATTTGCTTCATAACCATGTGTGTTTGAAACCTTTAACTTTATGAATACAACTGATGTTAGTATGTATATATTTTAAATCTTATTATCATTTACATTTGTTTACAGTTGCAATGTACAAAAATTACTAATCACTGATTTCATTGTTCTTTAAAGGAGGAGATGGTGGTATAGAAGGGGGGAAACTCAGTTGGCCTGAGGAGGTCTATGGATGTCCAGTTTATATTGGCTTAGAGGGCTTAGACTATCATCACTTTGAAAGGCTGGGTTTGTTCTGTTTGCCTTGAAAATTTAGATCTACTCTAGAAGTTTGAGGATTAAGAAGCTTTGCTTCTTAAATGATACAGTCTGACATTTGGGGAATGAGCTAGTCATTGGTTCACTTGCTTAAATATACTTGATAAATTTTGAGTCTCTATCTCAAAAAAAAAAAAGTCAATTTTGACAATCATATAAAATCTTACAAATCCAAAAATCTCTAGTTAAAATATTATACAAATGAATGTTTATAATTTGATTCAAATATGTGCTTTCAAATATGAAAATTATTTCTTTTTTTCCTTTTAAGTATGGTGTGTCATCCCATAAGTGAAATAAGGTACACAGAATTCACTATTCTCCCAGTAAATGGAGGAATCAGCTTCAAGAAGGCTTCCTTTTATTTTTTATTTATTTTCTTTGATATAATGGTCATTTATTCACAAATCACAGGTGAACACTTTTTAGAGAAATGGCTAATTTCAGGTTTGAGACAGAAAATGTACAGTATGAAATTAGAACATTTTGTCACACCAGAAAACAAAGAAGCCATCAAAGTCTACTAGGATTTTTTCAAAAGGATTCAAAAGCTGACTTCAAGAGGCTTCCACTGGCCAAATTTGAGTACGAATGGGACTAATAATCACAATAGATTGAAACATATCAAATATGTTCAATCTAAAAGTCATAAGATTACTTTTGAAGGATGATAAAGAACCAACTCATCATTTTGAAAACCAGTAAATAGTGAATCAAGCAGTTATTGTACCTTTCTTATATGAATGTAACTCAGGGTAAGTAAACAGAAGATAAGGAGAAGTTGCTCTTTACAGAATTATTCCAGTCAATAAATGAAGAATGAATGACATAATCAGAATGTTACCACTGTGCAACTTCTAATGAATTAAGGATCTAGGAAATGATTATCAATGGCTGTCTACATCATAAGAAGAAAGCCTCCTGATAGAAGCACATACCACCATCTATGAAGTATTCTTGCCAAATATCAAAACATATTTAATCAAGCTTCTAGATCTAACTACCAATTCACAAGATATACTGGGGACAGAAGAACATGCTAATTGACACCAAAGGGTTACCAACAGCAAAGTTCAAAATGTTGAAAACCCACTAGGACAAATTACCGTTTTTTTTTTCTTTTCAACAAATAAATTGTAAGGAAAAAATGATGTAATGGGGGAGTAACCTGGAGAAAGAGAGACTTAAGAGATATATAAGCTAATAACAATGTATGGACTCTTATTAGGATCCTGATTCAAACAAATAAATCATAGTGAAGTTTGAACATTGGGTATTGGATGTTACGTAATTATTTTAAATTCTTTTCGGTAGGATAATGGTATTGTGGTTATGTTCAAAAAGAGTGTTTATGGTACATACTGAAATGTGATGAGATAAAATAATAAGTCTGCGATGTGCTTAAAAATAATTTAGAAAAAAAATTTGGGGCAGGTACTGGATGAGATTATAGACAAAACAAGGCTGGCCACGAATTTAATGATTAGAGTTGGATGATGGATATATATGGATTGATTAAAATATAGTTTTGAAAATCTCCATAATAAAGGCGATCATTTTTTTTTTTCTTTGAGATGGAGTTTTGCTCTTGTTTCCCAGGCTGGAGTGCAATGGTGTGATCTCTGCTCACTGCAACCTCCACCTCCTGGGTTCAAGCAATTCTCCTGCCTCAGCCTCCTGAGTAGCTGGGATTACAGGTGCCTGCCACCATGCCAGCTAGTTTTTTGTATTTTTAGTAGAGAAGGGGTTTCACTATGTTGGCCAGGCTGGTCTTGAACTCCTGACCTCAGGTGACCCACCCACCTTGGCCTCCCAAAGTGCTGGGATTACAGGCATGAGCCACTGCACCTGGGATGCTTTTTTTTTTTTTTAAGACACAGTTTCACTGTGTCGCACAGGCTGGAGTGCAGTGGCGTGACCTTGGCTCACTGCAACCTCTGGGTTCAAGTGATTCTCATGCCTCAGCCTCCCGAGTAGCTAGGATCACAGGCACATGCCACCACGCCTGGCTAATTTTTGTATTATTAGTAGAGATGAGGTTTCACCATGTTGGCCAGACTGGTCTCAAACTCCTGACCTCAAGTGATCTGCCTGCCTTGGCCTCCCAAAGTGCTGGGTTATAGTCGTGAGCCACTGCGCCCAGCCAAGTTTTTTTTTTTTTTTTTTAAAGTAAGGAACATATCACCTTTATTTACCAATTACTCCATTGTTTTCTATACCATTTGTTTTCTTAAGTTTACTTATAGGTTTCTAGGAGCTAATTCATCTTTCAAGTACAAGCATAGATAGACACACATATGTTTTTAATAATGATTCAAGCCAGGAAAATGTAAATAAGAGTGAATAACTTTGCCATCACCAATGTATTGAGTCATACCAGTAGCTAAACTGTACAAATACATATTAAGACGGAAATGAAGCCACATTTTTTCATTTGTATTTTAAGAATGGACAAGCTTCAATAAATATATAATCATTTACAGGTTTCAGAATATTTGAACAATGAAATTAGACATCCATATATAGTCAGTATTTTAAAAGAAAACTTGCAGCTAAACAACCCCTACCTATGATGCTACAAACTTAGAAAACCTAGTAAGAAGGCTGGGCGCAGTGGCTTGTGCCTGTAATCCCAGCACTTTGGGAGGCCAAGGTGGATGGATTGCTTGGGCTCAGGAGTTTGAGACCAGCCTGGGCAACATGGCGAAACCCCATCTCTACAAAAAATACAAAAAAATTAGCCAGGCGTGGTTTCTATCATTAAAAAAAAACAAGAATAATTAAATCTCAGTTACAGGGGTTTATTTCTATTGCTATAGTCGGAGGAATATGGTATGTTTTCTACAGTAGATAAAAAATAGTTAGCTAAACCACATACTCTATAATGTACCAAAACTAAGATTATAAAAGTTAACTAAGGCCAGACGAGGTGGCTCATGTCTGTAATCCTAGCACTTTGGGAGGCTGAGGTGGGCAGATCATGAGGTCAGGAGATCAAGAGCTCTACTAAATCCAACACTAAGTCAAACTGTTTGCCTTTCTAGTTCTCCAAAAAAACTAGCTCCTGCCTCCACCTCCCAAGTAGCACTCCTGTAGTCCGCTGAGGCGGGAGGATCGCTTGAGCCTGGGAGGCAGAGGATGCAGTGAGCTGAGATTGCACCACTGCACTCCAGCCTGGGTAACAGAGTGAGACCCTTCCCTAATATATTGCCAAAAAAAAAAAAAAAAAAAAAGAAAGCCTAATACGAAGTCCAGGTGTCGTGGCTCGTGCCTGTAATCCCACACTTTGGGAGGCCAAGGTGGGAGGATCGCTTGAGCCCAGGAGATTAAGAGCCTGGGCAATATGGCGAAACCCCGTCTCTACAAAAAAAAAAAAAATACAAAAATTAGCTGGGCATGGTGGCATGCTCCTGTAGTCCCAGCTATTCAGGAGGCTGAGGTGGGAGGATCGCTTGAGCGTGGGGAGGCCAAGGCTGCAGTGAGCCGAGATCGTGCCACTGCACTCCAGCCAGCCTAGGTGACAGAGTGAGACTCTGTCTCGAAAAAAAAAGGAAAAAGATTTTGAACACTAGGTATCGGATGTTAACATCCAATTGTTATTGTTTAACAACATAATTATTGTTAAATTATTTTTGGCATGATATTTTGGTATGATAGTGGTAGGAAACTTTTTTTTTTCACTCTGTCACCCAGGCTGGCTGGAGTGCAGTGGCATGATCTCGGCTCACTGCAGCATTGCCTCCCCAGGCTGAAGCAATCCTCCCACCTTAGCCTCCAGAGTAGCTGCAACTACAGGTGCATGCCACCTTGCCTGGCTAATTTTTGTATTTTTTGTAGAGATGGGGTCTTGCCATGTTGCCCAGGCTGATCTCAAACTCCCAGGTTCAAACAATCCTCCCACCTCAGCCTCCCAAAATGCTGGGATTACAAATAGGTATGGGTCACTTTGCCTGGCCAGAAAACATTATTTTCAATAGTGAAACTGAAGAAACAGAAAAAATGTTGTATAGTGAAACACAGTTAGTCTTCATTATGCAATATAGACTTAAAATCAATGAAGATGATCTTATAACTCATCTAAATCAATCTAGGTAATTTAATTTTTAAATTTCTCATCTACGTACTTCAGTTTAAATATGAGGAAATGAACTCTAAAGTGATTAGAGGGCTTGTTTAGAATCACAAGCCTAAGAGTGAAGCCAAGTCACTTGATGACTGGTCATCTTTCCTCTGAATTATTAGTAAGTATACGTTTTTTCTTTTTTTCTCCTAAGAATGCAAAGCTGGTGTCTTTGTTAAATTGGTTGCTTTATGAAGTCAGCTAGACTAACTAATCAGTTGGTCATTTAAGTCCTGATGGTCAAGGCTATAACTTACTCTCTACCACTTCTAGGAGTGGCTCAGAGAACTAAGAAAAATAATTATACAGTCCTATTTCAGTTGCCATCAGATAACTCTGGCAGGAGGGAGCTGAGCATCTCAAGCAAGGTTTTTCAGTTGTTTGTATTAAATAAATCAATGTTTGTAAAGCGCTTAGACTAGGGCTTAGAACTTTGTGTTTATTAAATAAAGTAAATGAATAAATTTACACCTATCTCATAAAGAGATATCTGAGAATAATTTTTTTTTTTTTTTTTTTTGAGATGGAGTATCGCTCTGTCACCCAGGCTAGAGTGCAATGGCGCAATCTCGGCTCACTGCAACCTTTGCCTCCCTGGTTCAAGTGATTCTCCTGCCTCAGGCTCCAGAGTAGCTGGGATTACAGGCGCCTGCCACCACGCCTGGCTAATTTTTGTATTTTTCATAGAGACGGGGTTTCACCATTTTGGCCAGGCTGGTCTTGAGTTCCTGACCTCAACTGATCCACTGGCCTTGGCCTTCCAAAGTGCTGGGATTACAGGCGTGAGCCACCGCGCCCAGCCTGAGGATAATCTGAAAACTGTAACGCAGAACATTATCATGAACTCTCTGTGATTTAAAAATAGATAATTTTTTCTTTCAAAAATCCATCGTGACTTTATTTCTGTAAAACTAAATTCTTAAGGAAGTCTTCCATCTTTAAAATGAATGAACAATTTCCCCTCAAAAACTGTACTATGACCTTTTGAAAACAATGACAGTCATAAACCATGTACAGTACTGAAAGCCTGAATCAGTTAGACACATTTAAAAAAATAAATAATAATTCTTACCTTTCCAAGGTTTTCTTGTTCAGCAGTATTTTTGGTATACTGTTCCCTAGGGAGTCAACATAATGATTTACTTTCAATTTACTTCAAATGATTTGATCATACAAGTGAATTATAAATTAATATATCTATCTAAAATACACTAGGCAATATAGTTTAGGGTACTGGAGTCAGAATGAAACCCATTATAAAATTCTTTGTCTTTCCCCATCTTTAGTTAGTTCTTCAAGTAAATAGTAATTTAAGGAAAAAAAAGAAAGCAAAACATTTAATAGGAAATTAAGATAATTAAAATGTTAAATACTATTTCTGGTTAATCTACCCTCAAAACAATGGCAACCCATCTGCTTAAATTACACATTGTTTTTGAAGAGGTTTGTAGAAAGGAGAAAGGATATACATTTTAAATAAACATTAAGTAGCATGTAATCTTGCAATTCTACTTCTAGGAAGTCATCCTACAAAAATATCCCATAACTTAAATAAACATAAAAGCAGACTATTTATTTCATCAATGCTTATAATAGTGAAAATATGCAAACAAACTAAATGTCTATAGATGGGAAAATGTTTAAGCAAATTATGGCATATCTATTGAAACAAATAATAAGGAGTTATACAAAAGAATGAGGTAAATCTATAAATACTGAAGTGGAAAATATTCTAGATCAAGAGAAAAACAGCATATGTAGTTTAATCTTTTTTTTTTCCTTTGAGACAAGGTCTCACTCTGTTGCCCAGGTTGGAGTGCAGTGGCATGATCACACCTCATTGTAGCCTCCACCTCCCTGGCCCAAGTGAATCTCCCACTTTAGCCTCCCAGATACTGGGATTACAGACATGTGTCGCCATATTGGGCTAATTTTTTTGTATTTTTTTGGTAGACACAGGGTTTTGCCATGTTGCCCAGGCTGGTCTTGAACTCTGGGGCTCAAGCAATTGGCTCATCTCAGCTTCCCAAATGCTAGGATTACAGGTGTGAGCCACTACACCCAGGAGCAGTTTAATCTTATTTTTATATACATATGTATGTATACGTGTGTGTATACACACATACATATAACATTTCCCATGCATTAACTAACACACATATATACAGATGTATCAGCAAACGCATGGGAAAAGAATATGGCTTAATGTACACCAAAGTATTAACAGTAGACATTTCTGAGACATGGCAATAATGGACAGCATTCAACTTCTGTGCACACTACTTCATAATGGTTACTGTTGTTTTTACAAGTATTTCTTTTGTAAGCTAAAAAAAAAATTTTAATGTAAAAATTAAAAACATAATAACATTGTATTTTATTTGTAAACAAAATTATATTTCAATACTATTTAAGACAAAATGTGAGATTTAAAGCAGGTGACATGTTAAGGATAAAGACTGAAGGCTGGGGCTGGGCGCGGTGGCTCACGAGGTCAGGAGATCGAGACCATCCTGGCTAACACGGTGAAACCCTGTCTCTACTAAAAATTCAAAAAATTTAGCCAGGCGTGGTGGCGGGCACCTGTAGTCCCAGCTACTCAGGAGGCTGAGGCAGGAGAATGGCGTGAACCCAGGAGGCGGAGGTTGCAGTGAGCTGAGATCACGCCACTGCACTCCAGCCTGGGCAACAGAGTGAGACTCCGTCTCAAAAAAAAAAAAAAAAAAAAAAAAGACTGAAGGACGAGGGGTAAAGGAACACAGAACAAAGAAGAGACTGTTTTTGTGTGTGAAGCTACGCTGCAGTATTTAAGAAAAAATTAAACAATATAAAATTGGGACTCCAAGAAATCCTAAGCCATAAAAAGAGAAAATACAGCAGTCTAAGTAAAGGAAAATTTTGCAATTAGTCTTGATGAATCCTCATTTTCAGTAGGGCGTGGTGGCTCATGCCTGTAATCCCAGCACTCTGGGAGGCTGAGGAGGGTGGTTCACTTGAGGTCAGGAGTTTGAGACCAACCTGGCTAACATGGTGAAACCCCATTTCTACAAAAATACAAAAATATAAACTACAAAAATACAAATAACAAAAATTAGCCAAACACAGTGGCGTGTGCCTGTAATCCCAGCTACTTGGGAGGCTGAGGCAGGAGAATATGTTTGAACCTGGGAGGCGGAGATTGCAGTGAGCCGAGATCGTGCCACTGCACTCCAGCCTGGGTGACAGAGCAAGACTCCGTCTCAAAAAAAAAAAAATCTGGCTAGAAGACAGATCAGAAAATGAATAGTTCAAGAGCAATTATTTCCTTCTTTGCTATTTATATCGATAACTTTGGAAGAAATAGAACTTAATTTATAAAAATTTTTATTTTTTAAGAACAAATTTAACTTTTCTCATTTCTTATCATTGGCCATATAGATTTATATGAACAAAGTTTACATACAATGAAAGAATATGAATAAGTACATTTTTAGTTTAATATGTTAGAGTATTAGAAAAAACACTGCTCTATACAGTATTTTCAGTCTGGCTTGCATTCTAGTGCATTACATTGAAAAAAAATTCAGATTCTGCAAGACACTCTATTTCTTAGATTTTTTTTTTTTTTTTTTTTAAAGACAGAGTCTCCCTTTGTCGCTCAGGCTGGAACGCAGTGGCATGATTTCGGCTTACTGCAGCCCCTGCTCCCCGGGTTCAAGCGATTCCCACGCCTCGGCCTCCTAAGTAGCTGGGACTACGGGCGCCCACCACCATGCCCGGCCTCTTTTTATAACATTAATGTACATGCCACTCAAAATCTCAATGCAATCTAGAATAAACGTGAGTGCTACATTTTATCTGAATTTTTACTGAATAGTAATAGCAAAACATTTAATATTTGAATTGTGATGAGGAGCAAAGAAGGCTTATGTTGTTCAATGATTGCATTTTATCACACCTAGCAATTCAACCATAAATGTATTTTTTTTTAGGCAGGATTTGATTTATTACAGTACGCCACAAGCTGGGATTGCAAAAAAAGCACCATATAAGGACTAAGCAGTATTTACATATCCTTCTTGAAGACTGGTACACTGCAATCACACAATTTCCAGCTAAAATGCAGTCATCACACTGCACAATTAGCAGGCAGATGACTAGAGTCTAGGCCATGTGGGACTTTAAAAAGAGACCAACTTTACTGCTTATGACAAAGCAATTATGAAATTATATATATTCCTGGGTGGCGGGGAATGAAGAGTTATTGCTTAATGGTTACAAGAGTTTTTGTTTGGGATGATGAAAACATTTTGTAAATATACAGTGGTGATGGCTGTACAATATTGTGAATGTAATCAATGCCAATGAACTGTACACTTAAAAATGGGTAAAGTGGCAAATTTTATATATTTTATCACAATCAAAAAGTAAGCAAGCAAGAAATAAAATCATATGTATTCCTACTTAGCAGGGCTAAAATATCTAGATGTTTAGTAAGATTTAGTATTAAATAATATCTTAGTGTCTACTTACTTAAATATGCTAAATTTGTATAATTCTATCTTATTTATAAAACTTTTATTGGTGAAAATATTAAGTATCTCAATATAAAACAACAAAATCACTTGCCTAATTGCCTTTCTTTTTTCTTGTTGATCAGAAGAGATATATGCCTTCATCTCATCAGTAGCACGACGAAGTTGAACTTCTAGGTTCTAAATAGAAAGACTTCAGTTTTAGGGAAGACTTTGATATAGAAAAAACTCAGAAATGTTTTTGATCTACTTTGTCTTACCTTAATCATACAATTTGTATAATGGTATCTACTTTCTTCTTGAAGACATTCTTCACGGAGTCTTCTAACTTCCTATAATATATAATTTTAGATAGGTGACATTATCGAAAGAATGAGACAGATATGGCGACGATGACTTTAGATGTACAACAAAGGACTACCATCAGAGTCATTTCCTCTTCTGCAATTTTAACTTTGTTTATTCTAGCACAATAAGAGATAATCTTTTTCTAGAGAATACACATATCACTCTATAACCTGCAAGTTCAATTGTATTTTTTGAGACAGAGTCTCACTCTGTCACTCAGGATGGAGTGCAGTGGTGCAGTCTTGGCTCACTGCAACCTCCTCCTCGCAGGTTCAAGAGATTCTCGTGCCTCAGCCTCCTGAGGAGCTGAGACTACAGGCACGTGCCACCACGCCTGGCTAATTTTTGTATTTTTAGTAGAGACAGGGTTTCACCGGGTTGGCCAGGCTGATCTCGAACTCCTAGCCTCAAGTGATCCTCCCGCCCTGGACTCCCAAAGTGCTGGGATTACAGGCATGAGCGACTGCATCTGGCCCAATCATACATTTATTAAGTACCTACTGTGTGTCCAGCACTGTTCTAAGTGCTGAGGACACAGAAGTGAACAGGCAGGTTCCCTGCTTTCACTGAAGTAGAAGAAACCAACATAAACAAGGAAACATAATGAAGGATATTTGAGATGGGGATAAGCGCTATGAAGGAAATCCATCAGTAGAATGTGATAGAGGGACTGGGTGGGCCAGGTTGGGAAGAAGAGTGGGTAACATCAGGTGATCAGAGATCTCTGAAAGGCAGTGACACTAAGGCTGAGACCTAGTGATGAAAAGGAGAAGGGAGGGCGAAGAGTTAGGAGCAGAGTATATCACGCAGAAGGGAAGAGTACATGCAAAATCCCAAAGTGAAAACAAGCTTGGCCTGTTTAAAGCTCAGGAAGAAGGTCAGAGTGGCTGAAGCTCCATGGATGAGGAGTAGAGCACATGGACATGAAGTTCATAAGGCAGGTGGGGCCTTGTAGACCATAGTTTGGTGGTTAGATTTTATTTTAAGTGCAACAGGAAGCCAATGAAGGGTGGCAAAAATTTTAAACAGGTTTCTTAGGCTTCCCTATGAAGAATAAACCTTAGGAGAGCAAGAGTAGAAGCAAGAGAATAGGTAAGAGTTTACTGTGGGAGGCCAGGCAGCAGATAATGAGCCTTGTACTTTGCTGGGAGTGGTACAGATGGGAAATTAAGTGTGTACAAATTAAAGAAATAAAGATCTCTGGAGCTTAGGAGATGATGATAAAGATTTGGGAATCTTTTGACATTGATGTAGTGAAAATGTGCGTACACGGGCAGTATTTAAAACATTTTTTTTAGAGAGAGAGTCTTGCTCTGTGGCCCAGGCTAGAATGCAGTGGTGTGATCATAGCTCACTGTAGCCTCAAACTCCTAGGCTCAAGCAATCCTCCTGCTTCAGCCTCCAGAGTAGCTGGGACTACAGGTGTACACACAGGTAGTTTTTGCTAAATTGTTAAAATAAAAACTCTCTTCTTACCTGTTCTAATTTGGACCGATTGCTTTCGAGGCCTGCTGCACAGCTATCATACTGGGATTTCTTTTCATCACACTCCTGGGTCAGTTCCTAGTATAAAAAGGGAAAATGATTGAATAAGTGAAAAACAAAGGTCCCAAACATGGCTCTGAAACAATGCATGCCCTTGTCAGTCTTGTAACTTAACTCTAAGCTTCTTGGCATACTTAAGAGTTATTTATGCAACAACCAGACATTTGAGAATTATGATAGATGAAGGTGCTGATAATAATAATAGCTACCATGTATTGAGCTGTGTGCCAGGTTCTTTGTTAGGAGCTGGGGAGACAATAGTGAATAAAACAGCCAAAAATTCTTCCTCTCAAGTAATGTTCAGACAAGTAAACAGGCTGCTGAGAGCTATGATAGGAAAACACAAGGTGTTACAGAAGGCACACAGGACTCCCGGGAACCTAACCCAGGCTTGGGGATCAGTGGGGACAATTTCCTGGAGAAATTGATATCTAAGCTAATCACGAAGGATTAGTAAGAACAGTTAGGTGGAAGATGAACAAGGGGAAGACAGTATTTAAAAAAAAGGAACACTATGTATAAAGGATTGAAAGCTACAGAGAACAAGAATAATTAAGAAACTTATAAGTAGTTTACTATGCTGGTTTATTTATTTCTTTTGTTTGTTTGTTTGTTTGAGACGGAGTCTCACTCTACTGCCTAGGCTGGAGTGCAATGGTGCGATCTTGGCTCACTACAACCTCCGCCTCCTGGGTTCATGCGATTCTCCTGCCTCAGACTCCAAAGCAGCTGGGATTACAGGCATGTGCCACCATGCCTGGCTAATTTTTATATTTTTAGTAGAGATGGGGTTTCACTATGTTGGTCAGGCTGGTCTTGAACTCCTGATCTCAGGTGATCCACCTACCTCGGCCTCCCAAAGTGCTGGGATTACAAGCGTGAGCCACCGCACCCAGCCTATGCTGGTTTATTTCTGGGAAATGGTGAGGGGAGGCTGAAGACCTAGGCAGGGGCTTAATTAGAAGAACTTCGTAAAACATTCTAGGGTGTTTGAAATGTACCACTGACAATAACTAAATCTCAAAACGGCACCTCAAAAGAGATATTAATACCACCATATAATGCTTGCAGAAAGTTCAGGGAGAACAAGTACCTTGCCAAAGATTATACTGCTAAGAAAAGGTGGAGTCTGCTGGGCATGGTGGCTCACGCCTGTAATTGAAGCACTTTGGGAGGCCAGGTGGGCGGATCATGAGGTCAAGAGATTGAGACCATCCTGGCCAACATGGTAAAACCCCATCTCTACTAAAAATACAAAAAAATTAGCTGGGCATGGTGGCACGTGCCTGTAGTTCCAGCTACTCAGGAGGCTGAGGCAGGAGAATCACTTGAACCTGGGAGGTGGAGGTTGCAGTGAGCCGAGATCACACCACTGCACTCCAGCCTGGCGACAGAGTGAGACTCCATCTCAAAAAAAAAAAAAAGGTGGAATCACAATTTGAATTCAGGTTAAGCAGTTTCTTTATTGCAAGGGGGCAGGGAGGAAATTTAAATTTTGTTTTCTTTAAGTTGTTTCAAAGTTTCTTCTAATGTAGTATTTTGAATGGGATAATTTGAAAATCTCCTGCTACAAACACCTAGAAATGCTAAAAGTACAGTCATGCATGGGATGATGTTTCAGTCACAACGGACCACATATATGATGGCAGTCCCATATGATTATAATGGAGCTGAAAAAATCCTTTCACCTTAGTGATATCATAGGCATCATAATGCCATAGTGCAACAAATTACTCATGTGTTTGTGGTGATGCTGGTGTAAACCAATCTACTGTCAGTTGTATAGAAGTATAGCAATACAATTATGTACTGTATATAATACTTGATGATAATAAACTACTATGTTACTGGTTTATGTATTTACTATGCTATATTTTTTATTGTTATTTTAGAGTGTACTGCTTTTACTTATAAAAAATAAACTGTGAAACAGCCTCAGGCAAGTCCTTCAGGAGGCATCCAGAAGAAGGCATTGTTACAGGAGATGACATCTTCATGTGTGTTATTGCTCTTGAAGACCTTTCAGTGGGACAAGATGTTTCAAGGTGGAAGACAGTGATATTGATTACCCTGACGCTGTGTAGGCCTAGGTGTGTGTCTTAGTTTTTAACAAAAAAGTTTAAAAAGTGAAAAAAGCCTGGGTGTGGTGGCACAATCTTGTAATTCCAGCACTGTGGGAGGCCAAGGCGGGTGGATCGCTTGAGCCCAGGAGTTTGAGACAAGCACAGGCAACATAACAAGACCCCACCTCTACAAAATAAATAAATAAATAAATAAATAAAAATTAGCCAGACTTGGTGGTATGTGCCTGTGGTCCCAGCTACTCCTTAGGCTGAAGTGAGAGAGCTGCTTGAGGCCGGGAGGTTGAGGCTGCAGTGAGCCATGATGGTGCCACTGCACTCAGCCTGGGCGACAAGAGCAAGACCCTGTCTCAAAAAAAAACAAAAAACAAAAATTTTTCACCTTTTTTTTTTTTTTTGGAGACAGAGCTTTCTCTTGTCGCCCAGGCTGAAATGCAATGGTACGATCTTGGCTCACTACAACCTCTGCCTCCCGGGTTCAAGCGATTCTCCTGCCTCAGCTTCCCAAGTAGCTGGGACTACAGACATGTGCCACCATGACCAGATAATTTCGTATTTTTAGTAGAGACAAGGTTTCACCATGTTGGCCAGGATGGTCTTGAACTCCTGACTTCAGGTGATCTGCTCGCCTTGGCCTCCCAAAGTGCTGGGATTACAGGCATGAGTCATTGCACCTGGCCAAAAAAATTTTTTTAAATAGAAAAAAGCATATAAAAGAAGGATATAAAGAAATAAAATATTTTCATACCACTATACAATGTGCTTGTGTTTTAAGCTGTTATTACAAAAAAGTCAATTTTTTTTTTAATTAGAAGTTTATAAAGTAAGAAAAGTTTTTTTTAATTTTTTTCAAGACAGAGTCTTGCTCTGTCGCCCAGGCTGGAGTGCAGTGGCGGGATCTCGGCTCACCGCAACCTCCGCCTCCCGGGTTCAAGCAATTCTCCTGCCTCAACCTCCCAAGTAGCTGGGATTACAGCCATGTGCCACCACACCCAGCTAATTTTTTTGTGTTTTTAGTAGAAATGGGGTTTCACTATGTTGTCCAGGCTGGTCTGGAACTCCTGACCTCGTCATCCGCCTGCCTCAGCCTCCCAAAGTGTTGGGATTACAAGCGTGAGCCACCGTGCCCGGCCAAGAAAGCTACGGTAAGCTAAGGTTACTTTATTTTTTTAAAAAAATATTTTACATAAATTTAGAGTAGCCTAAGTGTACACTGTTTCCAAAGTCTATCATAGTGTACAGTAATGTCCTAGACCTTCACATTCACTTACCACTCACTCATTGACTCAACCGGAGAAACTTCCAGTCCTGCAAGCTCCATTCATGGTAAGTTCCCTATAAAGCATACCATTTTAAATCTTTTATACCATAATTTTACTGTACCTTTTCTATGTTTAGATGGGTGTAGATACACAAATACTTACCATTGTGTAACAACTGCCTACAGTATTCAGTATAGTCACATGCTGTACAGGTTTGTAGCCTAGGAGCAATATATCTACCATATAGCCTAGATATGAATAGGCTATACCATCTAGGTTTGTGTAAGTACACTCTATGGTGTTTGCACAATGATGAAATCACTCAATTATGCATTTCTTAGAACGTATCCTCATAATTAAGTGATGCATGCCTGCATCTACAAATGCTTGGTAAGACAGAGCAACATCCTTTCAGATCCCAAGCTGAACTGAACTCTCAAAGAAATAAAAGAAATTAACAGGACCAAAAAGAAAGGGTAACATTATGGCTACCCTTGGTGAAAGGAATTGGGAATGGTCAGTCTTGGTAACACAGTGATTTTAATGTTCAGGCAGAGCAGATGCAAAGCCTTGGGTCTATGCAGAGTGGGAAGTTAGAACTGAGGACCCCATAGTAAACCTTAAGTTGTTTTCAACTTGTGAACCTGTGAGTAAAGGGTTAACACCATCCCGAGAATGACCTTGGTTTCATGACCGTGGTTTCCTGCTGCACGGTTTCCTTAGAAACAGGATAGTTAGCACAGATGAGTAATGTGTATGCTGCCTTTGTTGTGTGGGACTGCATCTGGGCTGGGGTCACTAGTACAGAATAAAAGATTGTTGGAAGAAAGGGGATGTAGCTTCTATGTATCAAAGTGACCTTACAGACACCCAAGGCTCTCAAAGGTGAAAGTCACATCCAAAGTGGGAAAAGGGGCTGCAGAGCCTACGTACTTAGGTAGCTGCTGGTCTCTTGAGATGAAGGTGCTATAGTTGATAAAATCCTTTTTTTGGTCGCAAATCTTATGGTCAAACGGATCACTATGCAGCTGTGACAGTGATCATAGCTGTCCTCAGGCAGCTTTGGAGTTTGAATTTACCCTATCTACATGGTCTAGGAACTTCCAAGCTGAGAAATTAACTCAATATTAGCTCCAAGTTTGTGATATTTCTAAAACAGAAAAACTGAAAAACCACTGTAGAGGTGTACACCTTCCATCCTGGCTGCCAGGATTCAAGAGACAAAGCTCTGTTAATGAAAGCTCACAGTCCCAAAGTATAAAACATGTAAGGGAAAAATCAATTCATTAGGAGTGAGAATCAGAAGATATAAATAACAGGACCATACCTAAAGGAACTTTGGATACTAGAAATAAGCCAACTAAATAAGTATATTTAAAATAATAAAAACTATAAAGGAGGAACTGAAAACAAAAGATTACAAAAAGTGAGGCCAGGTGCGGTGGCTCATGCCTATAATCCCAGCACTTCGGGAGGCGGAGGTGGCCGGATCACTTGAGGTCAGGAGTTTGAGACCATCCTGGCCAACATGGTGAAAACCTGTCCCTACAAAAAATACAAAAATTAGCCAGGCGTGGTGCGCATGCCTGTAGTCCCAGCTACTCAAGAAGCTGAGGCAGAAGAATGGCTTGAACCCGGGACACGGAGGTTGCAGTGAGCTGAGACTGCAACACTGCACTCCAGCCTGGGCGAAGAGCAAGACTCTGTCTCAAGAAAAAAAAAAAAAGAAAGAAAGAAAGAAAAAGTGAGAAAAAATAAAAATGAAAAAGACAGTCATTGAAATTAAAAATTAAGTGGATGAAATAAACAATATTAGACACCTCTGAGGAAATAAAAGAATGAACTAAAACACAGAGCTGAAGAAATTATCTAGAATTCAACACAGAGAGACAAAAATATGAAAGTGAGATGAAGTAACAGGGAACAGAATAAATACCTCTAACATATCTCTAGTATGAGTAGCTGGAAAACAGACCGCAAAAAATGGGAGAGAAAATATCTGAAAGTATTATGTAGACTTTTTCCAGAATTCATGGAAGACACAAAACACAAATTCAGAAAAGTAAATAAAACTAAATATACACTCAAAACATGGTACTGAAATCTGGACAACACCAAAGAAAAAGATAAAAATATGAAAACCAGTTATAGGGAAGATATTACCTAAAAATAAATGATAAACTGATAGCCGACCCTTCAACAAAATAAAAGAAAGCATGAAAATTTTTTTTTTCTGACCAAGCCATTATTTAAAAGAAGAAAAAAAAAAGATGGCTTACTTATTGTAATGATTCTTTACTGCGAACACTAAACACACACATACGCGCACACTCACAAAACAAGGAAATTGTATTTCAGGAAAAAGAAAACTGAATCCAGAAATAAGGAGTAAAATACAAGCAGTGATGGTGAAAACTGCTAAATATATAGGTAAATCTAAACAGGAAATGATTATATAAAGTTGTAATTATAATACTAACAACCACCATAACAACTACTTTTAGAGATGTACAAATAAAGAAATAAGGGCTGGGCACGGTGGCTCATGCCTGTAATCCCAGTACTTTGGGAGGCTGAGGCGGGCGGATCACCTAAGGTCAGGAGTTCGAGACCAGCCTGACCAACATGGAGAAACCCCATCTCTACTAAAAATACAAAATTAGCCGGGTGTGGTGGTGCATGCCTGTAATCTCAGGTACTCGGGAGGCTGAGGCAGGAGAATTGCTTGAACCCAGGAGGCGGAAGTTGCGGTGAGCCAAGGTTGCGCCATTGCACTCCAGCCTGGGCAACAAGAGTGAAACTCCATCTCAATAAATAAATAAACAAAACAAACAAATAAATAAAAAAAATGCCGGAGGATAACAACGCACATGTAAGGTAGAAGAGGGTGTCAAATTATTCTAAGGTTCCTGTATTGTGGAGATGTTAACAACTTTAGACTTTGTTAAGTGAGGTATATATATATATATATATATATATATATGATAAAAACCTAAGAATAAATAATATCAGAATAGAAGATAAAAAAACAGAAAAAAGGGAAAAAAGAGAAAAGAAAACAGGATTGGTACAATGGATGGTTAAAAAAAAAAAGCAAAGAGAAAACACAGTAAATAACAGGATGTACAAAATAGAAAAAAATTCAAATGCTTCAAAAATTAGAGTAAACATAAATGAGATTAAACTTACCACTTAAAAGACAGATTCTCAAACTGGATGTAAGAAACTACACCCACACAAAATACATCTATCTATCTATCTATCTATCTATCTATCTATCTATCTATCTACCTACCTACCTATCTACTTATCTACCCACTCACCTATCTATCTATCTACCTAGAGTGCAGGTCTTACTCTTTCACCCAGGCTGGATGCAGTGGTGCTATCAGGTCTCACTGCAACCTCGAACTCCTGGGCTCCAGCTATCCTTCTGCCTCAGCCTCCCAATAGCTAAGACTATAGATGTGTGCTCCCATGCTCAGCTAATTTTTTTACTTTTTGTAGAGATGGAGTCTTGCTATGTTGCCGAGGCTGGTATTGAAATCCTGGGCTCAAGAGTCTCCTAACTCAGCCTCCCAAAGTGCTAGGATTACAGTCATGAGCAACTGCTGCCTGGCCCTACATGCTATTTATGAGACATACATAAGACAAAAATAAGGACATAGGAAGCTGAAAGCAAACAGAAATAAGAAGCAATACTAATCATAAGAAAGCTGGCATATATGCTTTAATAGTAGACAAAATAATACTCTAAGGCAAAAACCATTACGTACCATAATAAGGAATAAAGTTTAAAAATAAAGACAGAACATAAAATTCAACGGGAAGTTTTTTTCCTTCTTTCTTTTTTTAAAGACAAGGTTTCACTGTGTTGTGCAGGCTGGTCTTGAACTCCTAGGCTCAAGTCATCCTCTTGCCTTGGCCCCCTGAGTAGCTAGGACTATAAGCATGTGCTATTACCCTGGGCTGGTTTTTGTTTTTTAACCAGGAAGATTTTGTTTGTTTTCTCTTTTTTTGAGACGGAGTCTCGCTCTGTCACCCAGGATGGAGCACAGTGGCATAATCTCAGCTCACTGCAACCTCCGCCTCCCAGGTTCAAGCGATTCTGCCACCTCAGCCTCCCGAGTAGCTGGGACTACAGGTGTGTGCCACCATAGCTGGCTAATTTTTGTATTTTTTGGTAGAGACAGAGTTTCGCCATGTTGGCCAGGCTAGTCTCGAACTCCTGACCTCAAGTGATCCACCCGCCTTCGCCTCCCAAAGTGCTAGGATTACAGGCATGAACCACCACACCTGGTCTGTCTTGGTTTTTTGCTGTAATAAAATACACATAACAAAATTTGCCATTTTAACCATTTTTTAAGTGTGCAATTCAGTTGGCATTAAGCACATTCATAATGTTGGGCAACCATTACCACCATCCATCTACATAACTCTTTTCATCTGAAAAAGTTTCCGTGAAACATTTTACCCATTCACTAGGAAGTTTAGAACACCGCTTTTATAAGCCTGATCTGATGAACACAGGGAGAACCCTGTACTCAACAACTGGAAAATAGACATTCTTTTCAAGATCGAGTTACCAAAAAAATTAAGTTGGCCTCAGATCTCTCCATAGCTACATTTAACCCTAGAAGATTGTCGAGCTACACTTAAAAAAAATCCTCAAGGAAAGAAAGCATGATCTAATAGTCAAACGGCTGTTGAAATGTTTAGGCAATAAACTAGAACATGCAAGAACTCATCAGGGAATATTGTTCTTATGAGTCTTTTTGGAGGACTCAACTAGAGGACAAGTTCCAGGCAATCAAAAGAGAAGTGAGACAAAGGGCAGTCAGTGAATTGGTAATGAGCGCTGGATCTAATAATTACAGGTCTAGAGCTGAAAACCAAAGCGAGAAGTAGGGTAACAGAGGAGAATGTAAATGTTATATGCAGTGACAAGATAGAAATGATACAACAAAGCCTTCAGGAAGAAGAAAGGGAAAAGAAGGTGGAAGGCAGAGTAAGTAAGCTGGTTTCCTCATTTTTTTAATTGCTAGAGGTGGGTGGGGGAATGTCAAAGAATATCATTTAAAGCTAACAAGTCATACTATAAGTGTATTCAAGGTATAACGGCAAACACTAAGACAATACGATCTACTAAAATCAGGTGCTAGAGGAGAGGGAAGGAAGGGAGGAGGAACAAGAAATATATCAATTTCATGACTTCTCACAGTGGGGATTAATAGATGCCATCTAAAGAAATAAATAATGAATAGTAGAGTTAAAAGGCTAAAACTAAACCATAAGCCAGAACACACACACATGAGGGAGAGAAGTCAGGGGATGAGTGAGGAGGGGAAAAAGGAGGAGAAGGAGATTTTTTATAGGCTTTAAAATTGAAAGCCAAACATAAAGTAATACCACCCAAACCAAATGTATCTGCATATTAATAAATATATAAATTTACCTATTAAAATAAACCTTTCAGATGATATGACACAGCAAAACCTAATTCAAGATCTATTCAAGAGACACATCAGAAACAAAATACTTTTTTTAAAAGTGGAAAGTATAAGGTGGACAAAAAAAGTACAGCAACCAAATGTTAAAAGAAAAGAAAGCAGATAATTTGATCTTGGTATCAGTCACGGTTGATTTCAGTCCTCCCACGTCCTGAAAAAAGCTTTTGTTTTTACAAAGTAGAACAGAAGTGTGGAGAACAAATTTAAGGTAGTTATTAAATAATTATCTGTTCATTAATTATCAGAAAATTTCTGGAAAATACATATGGAGCTGTTAAGTCATGTGCTGGGGATGCTGAAAGAAATAATTTTTATTCTTTTCCTTAAATAACTCTGTATAGCTTTAATTATTGCTAAGAACATGATTTTACTTTTATATGAAAAAGTAATCAATAAATAATAGATATTTCATTGAAAATAAAAATTATCAGATTGCATACTCTAAAATATAAACAGGGTGGGTGTGGTGGCTCACGCCTATAATCCCAGCATTTTGGAAGCCTGAGGTGGGAGGACTGCTTGAGCCCAGGAGTTCGAGACTAGCCTGGCAACAGCAGACCCCATCTCTACTTAAAAAAATTAAATGAATAAAAAAAAAATGAATATTTCAGTTTTTTCCTACATATAAGCAATTATATATAATTATTCCATTTAATTACATATAATTTATAGAACTGCTCCTAAGAAAATAAACATAAAACTTTTCAAAATGCTATTCTAATTCTAGATGACTATAATAGATCTAGATAAATATAAGTTAGACATCTTTCATTGTTGATATGGTTTGGATCTCTGTCCCTGCCCAAATCTCACGTCAAACTGTTACCTCCAATGTTGGAGGTGGGGCCTGGTGGGAGGTGATTGGATCGTGGGGGTGAAATTCTCATGAACGGTTTAGCACCATTCTCTTGGTGCTGTTTTCATGATAGTGAGTGAGTTCTCATAAGATCTCGTTGTTTAAAAGTGTGAGGCCCCTCCTCCCACCCCCTTGCTGCTCTAGCCATGTGATATGCCTGCTCTCTCTTTGCCTTCTGCCATGATTGTAAGCTTCCTGAGGCCTCCCTAGAAGGTGAGTAGATGCCTGCATCATGCTTCCTGTATAGCCTGTAGAACCATGAGCCAATTAAGACTTTTTTCTTTAGAAATTACTTAGTCTCAGGTATTTATTTACAGCAATGAGAGAAAAGACTAATCCAGTTGTGATGCTCTAATATTCAAACAGCTGTTAATATTCAAATTTAGAAAAAAATGCAAGTATCACACAAAGGAAATATATTAACACTTCCCTGTAAAATTTCCTAATAGTTCAGGGTTGTCCATTAAAGTAAGTTACGTATTTTTAAGTATTCCTGCTCTTTGAAAGTGTCATAATGTATTTTTGTAGTTTCAAGTATTAAATATAGTTAAACAAGTTAAAAATATAGTATTAAAAATAGAGAACAGTGAATGTCAAATGGTGGAGGCTGTCTGATCTGGATTTGTAGAGGGCATTTACCTTCTGACAATTTATCTTTAAAGCAGTGGTTAGAACTAGTTTCCAAGTAATGGTATTTCATCACTTCTCATAATCTATCATAGTTTGCTGTGCACCGTGCCTCCTAGCAGTGCAAGTTCATTAATCTAAAGTTAACTTGTCACCACTTGTGGGCAGACTTTGAGCTTTTACCTGGACACAGAAGAATGTGACTTCATATTTATAGCTTTAAGGTCCATATGATTTAAAGAAAAAATCTCCTCTGGCTGAATTTGTGCATTTCAGCTTAAACTGCTTTTTCTCCATCTCCTCTGCCTCCAATTATTTATGGCTAAATAAGCAGCATAAATTAAACAAAAACCCTTGCAAGTCATTTTTGGGGGGAGGGGTGGGAGACAGGGTCTCACTCTGTCACCCAAGCTGGAGTACAGTGGCATGATCATGGCTCACTGCAATCCTGACCTTCTGGGTTCAAGCAATCCTCCCACCTCAGCATCCCGAGAATCTGGGGCTACAGGTGCATGCCACCAAGCTCAGCTAATTTTTTTATTTTTTGTAGAGACAAGGTCTTGTTGTTAGACAGGCTGGTCTCGAATTCCTGGGCTCAAGTGATCATCCTCCTGTCTCAACCTCCCAAAGTGCTGGGATTACAGGCATAAGCCACCACACCTGGCCTGTATGTCATGTTTTAATTCTCTTTTGAAGAATTGTATCAATAACGTAATAATGATAATTTGTTTTCTATATTACCCAAGTAAAATATCCAGGGTTCTAACTAGCACATGTGAATAAGATAGAATACTAAAAGTATCATAAAATCAAATTACTTGATAAAATCAAAAACTTACTTGATATTTTTGACGCAACTGTCGTAGCTCTTTTATAACTGAGGCAAGAGCTGACTTCTTTTCAGATACCAATGAATACAGTTTTTTCACCTGTTATTTGAACAAAAAATATAACACCTAAAAAAGAATTCAAAAAAAGAAAAATACTACATGCATAAAGATATTAATTTCAGTGTTAAATGTAAGAGCAAAAAACTGCAAATTACTTCAGTCCCAAACAACAGAGAAGTGCTTTAGAAAATCCTGATTCCTCAGCAAGATGGAATACTATACTATTTAATCATTCAAAACGTCAGTTCTCAAGACTGTAAACCATTACGGGAAAATCTTTATAATTTAACATTGAATAAATATATTAAAAAATTGCCCTATACAACTATAATCATGATGTATTATTTATGTAGGCATATAAAATATACATAAATATAGATGGAGTGATATTCAAAATACTACAGTATAGTCCAAATAGCATAAGTAATGATCCATCAGAATGGACACCAATCAGAGAGATGAATGGGGTCTTTTTTTTTTTTTTTGAGACAGAGTCTTGCTTGGTTGCCCAGGCTGAAGTGCAATGGTGTGATCTCAGCTCACTGCAACCTCTGCTTCCCAGGTTAAAGTGATTCTCATGCCTCAGCCTCCTGAGAAGCTGGAACTACAGGAGTGCGACACCACGCCCGGCTGATTTTTGTATTTTTAGTAGAGACGGGATTTCACCATGTTGGCCAGGCTGGTCTCGAACTCCTGACCTCAAGTGATCCTCCCGCCTCGGCCTCCCAAAGTGCTGGGATTACAGGTGTGAGCCACCGTGCCTGGCCTGAACAGGGTCTTACATGCTAACCTTTTTAGGAGTTAGATTGTGATGAGATCCAGAGGGTTCTGGGGGAATGGCCAATGTGGACAAGACAACTGGAGGGGGGTACTCTGAGGGTTTGGGGCGGCTATTTACCAACAAGTAATATAAGATATCAACATTTTAATGCCTGGTGAAAGTGTACTAGTGCAATCTGATTGAATACAAGTCCTGAAAATGGAAAGATTCTAAGAACATACACAACAATGAAATAATTCTATTAGGGTGGTATGACCTGGGAAAATTTATTTTTCTTCTTAAATATTTCTTTAATGTTATATAACTTTTGCACATTAAAAAAACAGAAAATGCATAAACTATTAGAATTTGAACAACCTTACTAGAATGAAAAAAATTCAAAAGAGATTGATAAAGACAGATGAGACCGGGTGTAGTGGCTCACGCCTGTAATCCCAGCACTTTGGGAGGCTGAGGCAGGTGGATCACTTGAGGTCGGGAGGTAGAGACCAGCCTGCCCAACATGGTGAAACCCTGTCTCTACTAAAAATACAAAAATTAGCCGGGCATGGTGGCACACACCTGTAGTCCCAGCTACTTGGGAGGCTGAGGCATGAGAATCACTTGAACCCCAGAGGTGGATGTTACAGTGAGCCAAATTCATGCCACTGCACTCTAGCCTGGGCAATAGAGTGAGACTCTGCCTCAAAAAGAAAAAAAAAAAAAAGATGAAAGAATGTAATGTGCAGAAATTAACAGGTGAATGTTTCACTGAAAATAAAACTAACACAAAACACCTGCCTTCTAGCTACACAATAAAAGAAAATTTAAATAAAAGTATCATCACCATTTCAGACATATCATCCAATGTTCGTCCTTTCATTTCATCAACTTCACTCTTCAGTGCAGATACTCTTTCTAGCTCTTCTTGGGTGTAACTATATCCAGATATACCCTTTTTCTCCTCCATAGTTTGCTATAAGTAAAAAATAAAAAGGCCACAAAACATGTCAAAATCTTGCTGGCTCCCATAAGAAATGTACAAATTTCATACATAACAAAAAATTGTAAATAGAATTAATTAGTTTAGAATCCTAAAGGACAATCTTCATTGACTTCAATTATTATTTCATTCAATTACATGCCTTTGTATATTATAAACCTATGGTATCTTCAGGTACATAGGAAGTATTTCTAATCGTAGACTTTATAATAATGTTATGTACTCAGCACAGAACCTAAAACATAGGGTACATTCAATAAACATTTGATGAAAGAATGAATTCTCAAATGATATGTTCACTCATCCAATATTTATTATATATGTAAATGTGCCAATCACAGTTCTAGGCACCAGGTATACGGCAGTGAATAGAACAGGAAAAAAAAAATCCCTTCCCTCACAGAGCTTACTACTAGTGGGAATAAATAAGCAATATGTAAATAAGTAAATAAATAAATATAGTATAACCAGAAGGTGGTTAGAGAAGATGATCCAGAGAAGATGATCCTGAGAAGATGACATCTGAGCAAAGCCCCGTAGGAAGTGAGGGAATCAGCAAGTGCAAAAGCTGGGAGCAAACTTGACCAGTTCAAGAAACAGTAAGGAGGTGCAGTGAGAATAAGGTGGGGGTGAAGGAGGGGTTACATGGGGTTCAGCTGGTTTGCTAGGTCTCAGTGTACATCTATTGTCCCTTGCACTCTCAAGAAGTATCCTACTTTAGATAATAAGTTGTATTGTTATCTTATTTTTAAGCTGATGAAAGAGCTTTGTTTTCTTTAAAATGAGATAGGCAGCTGTTGAAAGGTTCAGAGTTAAGGCAATTTTAAAATGATCACTTTAACATCTGTGCTGAGATCAGGCTAGGTAGGAGCAGGGAGGCCAATTAGAAGACCGTCTCAATAGTTCAAGTTAAAGAAAATGGTAGCATGAATCAGGGTGGTGGTGACAGAAATAATGAGAAATGGTTCTGTGTATATTTTGAAGGCAGATCAAACAAGATAATGCGACAAATTAGATGTAGGGATGTGAACGCAAGTAAAGGATAAAGAATGAGTTCAAGGTTTCTGACTTGAGAGACTAACAGGATGAAGTTTCCATTTGTTGAGAGGAAGAAGAATGGGGAAGACTAGTTTAAGGAGGTGGTGCAGATCAGAAGTTTATTTTTGGACATGTTAAAAATTTGAAATATATATTAGATATCCAAATGGAAAGGTCAAGATGTTATATGTGTAAGACTGGAATTAGGCCAGGTGTGGTGGCTCGCGCCTGTAATCCCACTACTTTGGGAGGCTGAGGCAGGTGGATCCCCTAAGGTCAGGAGTTTGAGACCAGACTGGCCAACATGGCGAAACCTTGTCTCTACTAAAAATACAAAAATTAGCCAGATGTGTTGGTGGGCACCTGTAATCCCAGCTACTTGGGAGGCTGAGGCAGGAGAATCACTTGAACCCGGGAGGTGGAGCTTGCAGTGAGCCGAGACTGCACCACTGCACTCCGGTCTGGGCAAAAGAGTGAGACTCTGTCTCAAAAAATAAATAAATAAATAAATAAATAAAATTTTAAAAAGGACTAGAATTAGAGGAGAAATCTAGGCTGGAGATATAAATTGGTGAGTTGTCACAATATAAGAGGGGGCCTTTACAACCATGAGACAGGATAAGATCACCAAGGAAGTGAAGATAGAAAGCAGATCCAAGGGCTAAGCCTAGGGAACCCCAACATTTAAACTTTAAAGAAATGATAAGAAATCAGCAATAGAATAGGAATAGGAGTGTTAGTTAGGAAGAAAAACCAGGAAAGTGTAGTGTCTTAGAAGACAGAAGAAGAAGTTTTACAGGAAGATGGAATGATCAACTATGCTAAATGCTGCTACTAGGTCAAGTAAGGAAAGGACTAATAATTAATCATTGGATTTGGCAATGTGAAGGTACTGGTGACCTGACGAAAGACTTTTTTTTTTTTTTGAGACGGAGTCTTGCTCTGTCACCCAGGGTGGAGTGCAGTGGTGCGATCTTGGCTCACTGCAACCTCCGACTCCCGGGTTCAAGCGATTCTCCTGCCTCAGCCTCCCAAGTAGCTGGGATTACAGGCGCGTGCCACTATGCCTAATTTTTTTTTTTTTTTGTATTTTTAGTAGAGATAGGGTTTCACTATGTTAGCCAGGATGGTCTTGATCTCCTGACCTCATGATCCACCCACCTTGGCTTCTCAAAGTGCTGGGATTACAGGCGTGAGCCACCGTGCCCAGCCTGACAAAAGACATTTTAGTGGAATGGTAAGTGCGAAAACTGTATTGAAGAGAGTTCAAAAAAGAATGAAAGAACCAAAAGGAAAGAAAGACAAGGAAAGACAGAATGGAAGAAGAGTTAAGATTCTGGCCTGTCAATAGGACTGGGACCTAAAGGGGTAGAGGGAACTACAGAGAATTAGCCCCAGATTCTGTATGCATTTTCCTCTTTAGGCATTACCAAATCTTAGGATATGCACAAGCAGAGTAAGGCTCTCAAAAACCAAGCGGAAATCAGCAGATGGGTTATTTTTTTTTTTAATTTTTTTTTTTTGAGACGGAGTCTTGCTCTGTCGCTCAGGCTGGAGTGCAGTGGCACGATCTCGGCTCACTGCAACCTCCGCCTCCCAGGTTCATGCCATTCTCCTGCCTCAGCCTCCCGAGCAGCTGGGATTCCCGGCACCCACCACCATGCCCAGCGACTTTTTTGTATTTTTAGTAGAGACAGGGTTTCACTGTGTTAGCCAGGATGTTCTTGATCTCCTGACCTCGTGATCCACCCGCCTCAGCCTCCCAAAGTGTTGGGATTACAGGCGTGAGCCACCGCGCCCGGCCGAGCAGATAGGTTATTAAAGAGCTGAGCAAAGATTGTAGCAGTCTCACAGTACTAGGGAGATAAAGGTAGGAATTCAGGACTTTCCAGGGTGCACAGGCTTTGGTAAATGCCTCACATTATCAGCTGAAAACCTAGAAGGTCTACTCCTTAGAAGGTCTATAACCTAGCAGTAAGACCTACATCCTTGGAGTAAGGACCACTTCCTAAAGTCTCTACCACAGGTACGAGAACTATATCTTTGGATTAAGAGAAAACTGGAGAAATACCAGCTTAAGAAAAACAAAAAACAAAACAAAACAAAAAAGCTACCCTCAACTTGATCAAGGTAACTTTCTAGAAAAAAATTAAATCCTCCTTATAGAAAAACAAATATAGTCAGAGCTTCTAAAATTTAATGACACTTTACACCCAACATTCAATAAAAAATTACCAAGTAAGCAAAGTAATAGGCCCAAATGAATGAAAATCAAGAGAAAAAAATACATGGCCAGGAACAGTAGCTTATGCATGTAATCCCATCACTTTGGGAGGCCGAGAAGGGCAGATCACTTGAAGTCAGGAGTTCAAGACCAGCCTGGCCAACATGGTGAAATTCTGTCTTTACTAAAAATACAAAAAATTAGCCGGGTGTGGTGGTGGGTGCCTGTAG